>NC_000003.12:89403939-89706969 GCF_000001405.40 Homo sapiens | reverse complement strand
GTTTTGCTTATCTTTCCAAATAACTAGGTTTTTTTTTCATTTATCTTTTGTATTTCCTTTGTTGGTTTGTTTCATTTTCATTGAGTTCTGCTCTGAGCTTTGTTATTTCTTTTCTTCTCCTGGGTTTGGGTTAAGTTTGTCCTTGTTTCTTTAGTTCCTTGTGGTGTAACATTAGGTTGCCTATTTGTGGTCTTTCAGACTTTTTGATTTTGGCATTTAATGATATGAACCTTCCTCTTAGCACCACTTTTGCTATATTCCAGATATTTTGATAAATTGTATCTCTATTGTGAAATATTCTATTTCAAATAATTTTTAAATATTCCTCTTGATTTCCTTGTTAACCCCAAAATCATTCAAGAGCAGATTATTTAATTTCCATATATCTGTATAGCTTTGAGTGTTCCTTTTAGAGTTGATTTCCAGTATTATTCTATTGTGGTCTGAGAAGGTACTCGATATGATTTTGATACTCTTAAATGTATTGAGATTTCGTTTTTGGCCTATCACATGATCTATCTGGGAAAATGTTCCATGTGCTGATTAGAAGAATCTCTATTCTGCAGTTGTTGGGAAGAATGTTCTGTAAATATCCACAACTTTCATTTGTTTTAAGGTATAGTTAAATCCATTGTTTTTTTGTTTACTTTCTGTATTAATGGCCTTTCTAGTGCTGTCAGTGGATTATTGAAGTCCCCCACTATCATTGTGTTCCTGTCTATCTCATTTCTTAGGTCTAGTAATAATTGTTTTCTAAATCTAGGAGCTCCATTGTTACGTGCATATGAAGTCAGGATTGCAATTTCTTTCTGTTAGCCTGATCCTTTTATTATTATATAATGTCTTTCTTTGTTTTTTTTTGTTTGTTTTTGTTTTTGTTTTTACTGTTATTACTTGAAAGTCTGTTTTGTCTGATATAAGACTAGCTACTCCTTCTTGCTTTGGTTTCCATTTGCATGAAATAGCTTTTTCCAATTCTTTACCTTAAGTTTATGCAAGTCCTTATGCATTAGGTGAGTCTCCTGAAGACAGCTCATACACTTTATTTACTGAGGTGATGATTCAGGCTTCAAGCCAATAGGAAAGGTATCCGTGGTAGGCATTGGTTATAGCTAAAACAGGTGAGTAGCTGTAATACCCCATGGTGAGCAGAGGTCCCAGCCTTGATGAAGGTGGTTGAGGGAGCTCTCAATTAGATATGCTGAGGTTTTATCAGGGTGAAGGATGAGAGCTACCTCAGTTCCCCTGTCAGGCCAGCAGGAAAACTCTCCAACTCACAGCCTCACTCCTGTCCCAGTGTTGCAGTGATATGGTTTGGATGTGTCCCCACCCAAATCTCATCTTGAATTGTAGCTCCCACAATTCCTACATGTTGTGGGAGGAACCAGGTGGGAAGTAATTGAATCACGAGGGTGAGTCTTTCCCATGCTATTCTCACGATAGTGAATAAGTCTCATGATATCTGATGGTTTTATAAAGGGAAATATCCCTACACAAGCTTGCATCTCTTTCTGCCACCATGTTTGCTGTGCCTTTCACCTTCTGCCATGATTGTGAGGCCTCCCCAGCCACGTGAAACTGTGAGTCCAATAAACCTATTTCTTTTGTAAATTGCCCATTCTCAGGTACGTCTTTACCAACAGCATGAAAACAGACTAATACAGTAAATTGGTACCAGTAGAGTGGGGTGCTGCTGAAAAGATACCTGAAATGGAATTGGGTAGCAGGCAGAGTTGCAAACAGTTTGGATGGCTCAGAAGAAGAGAGGAAAGTTTGGAACTCCCTAGAGACTTGTTCAATGTTTTTGACTAAAATGCTGATAATGATATAGACAATGAAATCCAGGCTGAGGTGGTCTCAAATGAACATGAAGGACTTGTTGGGAACTGGAGCTAAGGTGACACTTGTTATGTTTTAGCCAAAAAACTGGCAACATTTTGCCTCTGCCCTGGAGATTTGTTAAACTTTGAACTTGAGAGAGATGATTTAGGGTATCTGGCAGGATACCCTACCCTTTGCTAAGGAGCAAAGCATTCAAGAAGTGACTTGGGTGCTGTTGAAAGCTGATATGGTTTGGCTCTGTATCCCCACACAACTCTCATCTTGAACTGTACTCCCATAATTCCCATGTGTTGTGGGAGGGACCTGGTGGGAGAAAATTGAATCATGGAGGCAGTTTCCCCCATAATTTTCTTGTGGTAGTGAATAAGTCTCATGAGAGCTGATGGTTTTATAAGAGGTTTCTGCTGCTGCTTCTTTCTCATCCTCTCTTGCTGCTACTATGTAAGAAGGGCCTTTTGTCTTCCACCATAATTTTGAGGCTTTCTGAGCCACGTGGAACTATGAGTCCATTAAAACTATTTTTCTTCCCAGTCCAGGGTATGTCTTTATCAGCAGCATGAAAATGGACTAATACAAAAGCATTCCATTTTAAAAGGGAAACAGAGCATAAAAGTTTGGAAAATACGCAGCCTGACAATGTGATAATAAAGAAAATCCCATTTTCTGAGGAGAATTTCAAGTCAGCTGCAGAAATTTGCATAATTAATGAGGAGGCAAATGTTAATCACCAAGACAATGGGGAATATATCTCCAGGGCATGTCAGAGACCTTTATGGCAGCCCCTCCCATCACAGGCCCAGAGGCCCAGGAGGAAAAAATTGTTTCATGAGTGGTGCCCAGAGTCCTTCTGCTGTGTGCAGTGTAGGGTCTTGGTGCCCTGCATCTCAGCTGCTCCAGCTGTGACTAAAAGGGGCCAAGGTACAGCTCAGGCTGTGAATTCAGATGGTGTAAGCCCCAAACCATGGCAGCTTCCACAAGGTGTTGAGCCTGTGGGTGCAAGAATTGAGGTTTGGGAACCTCTGCCTAGATTTCAGAGGATGTATAAAAATGCCTGAATGTCCAAGCAGAAGTTTGCTGCAGGGGTGGGGCACTAACGGATAACCTCTGCTAGAGCAGTGTGGAAGGAAAATGTGGTGTGGCTGCCCCCACACACAGTCCCCACTGAGGTGCTGTCCAGTGGAGCCGTGAGAAGAGAGCCACCATCCTCCAGACCCCAGAATTGTAGATCCACTGACAGCTTGCATTGTGTGACTGGAAAAGCCACAGACACTCAACACTAGCCAGTGCAAAATCAAAGGCATAGGGGTGAAGTTGCCCAAGACCATGGGAACCTACCTCTTGCATCAGCGTGGCCTGGATGTGAGACATGGAGTCAAAGGATATCTTTTATTTTTTTTTTTTGGACCTTTAAGATTTGACTGCCCCTCTGGATTTCAGATTTGGATGGATCATTTAGCCCCTTCATTTTTGCCAATTTCTCCCATTTGGAATGGGTGTATTTTCCAATCCTATAACCTCATTACATACAGGAAGTAACTAACTTGCTTTTGATTTTACAGGCTCATAGGCAGAAGGGATTTGCCTTGTCTCAGATAAAACTTTAGACTGTGGACTTTCAAATTAATGCTGAAATGAGTTATGACTTTGGAGGACTGTTAGGAAGGCATGATTGGTTTTGAAATGTAAGGACATTATATTTGAGAGGGGCCAGTGGCAGAAAGATATGATTTGACTGTGTCCCAACCCAAATCTCATCTTGAATTATAGCTCCCACAATTCCCACGTGTTGTTGGAGGGATGCAGTGGGAGGTAATTGTATCATGGGGGTGAGTCTTTTCTGTGCTATTCTCGTGATAGTGAATAAGTATCATGAGATCTGATGGTTCAGATCTGATCATGAGATCTAAAGGGAAGTTTCTCTGCACAAGCTCTCTTCTCTTTCTGACACCATGTGAGATGTGCCTTTCACCTTCTGCCATGATTATGAGGCCTCTCTAGCCATGTGGAACTGTGAGTCCCCTAAACCTCTTTCTTTTGTAAATTGCCCAGTTTGGGTATGCCTTTATCAGCAGCATAAAAACAGACTAATACATGCTATTCAGATCAGACAGATATCTCTTTTTATCTCTAGGAATGTTTATATTCCAAGTGTAAAAAATTATGACTTCCTCTTGTGCAGGCAGGAATCTGGGGAGTGCTCCTTCTACGAAACTGCAATCACCCTGCATTATTCTGGGAAGGCTATCTTTAGGTACATCCACACTACGTTCCCATTGGAGAAGCCCCAGTTGTGTCTCCAGTGGTGTATCAGGGGGCAAGAAGGACTCCTTCTTTAATACGCTTCATGATTGTGGAGGACACCTGCTCATTGGGGTAAGGGTGCAGACTTTCCCTACTACATCCATCAGTGCAATTGTGTCTCTGCTGTAAGAAACTTCCCAGCATCAGAAAGATCTAAAGGACTACCGTTCAGATTATTTGGTCCCCTGGGGTATTCCCTTGATGTGGTGTTCTCCCCCTTCCCCTATGAATGAGACTTCCTGAGAACCAGACTACAGTGATTATTATTGCTCTTCTGTGTCTAGACATCTACTGGGGCTATCAGACTGTAGGCTGGTGATGGGAAATGACTACAACGGATCCAGTGATGGAACATATCTTCAAGTCTCCTAGCAGAGGATACCGGCACCTGCTCTAATGGAGGTAGCAGAAGAGTGACGCAGACTGTGTGAGATTCCTTGGTTTTAGATAGGCTTAGTGTGCTGACTTTCTCAAATGCTGATTATAATTGTAGTGAACTTCTCAGGTGGAGAGGCTCAGGACCTCTGGTCTGCCAGAGTGTTACAGTCAGGGGTGATAGCTGAGATCACACAGGTATTTTCTCCTTCCTGGGTGCAGTTATTCTACAGAGAGTTGCTGTAATGACGTGTGTTGATTTGTGATATGGTTTGGCTGTGTCCCACCAAAATCTCATCTTGAATTGAAGTTCCCATAATCCTCACGCATCCTGGGAGGGACCAGGCAGAGATAATTGAATCATGGGGGTGGTTTTCCCCATCCTGTTCTCATGATAGTAAGTTAGGTTTCATGAAAACTAATGATTTCATAACGGGTTCCCCCCTTCGCTGAGCACTTATTCTTCTTCCTGCTGCCATATGAAGAAAGGCATGTTTGCCTCCCCTTCCACCATGATTGTAAGATTCCTGAGGCCTCCCCAGCCATGAAGAACTGTGAATCAATTAAACCTTTTCCTCTATAAATTACCCAGTCTTGGGTATGTATTTATTAGCAGCGTGAGAACAAACTAATACAGTAAATTGATACCAGTAAAGTGGGGTGCTGCTATAAGGATACCCAAAACTATGGAAGAAACTTTGGAACTGAGTAACAGGCAGAAGTTGGAACAGTTTGGAGGCCTCAGAAGAAGACAGGAAGATGTGGGAAAGTGTGGAACTTACTAGAGACTTGTTGAAAGGCTTTAACCAAAATGCTGATAGTGATATGGACAAGGAAGTCCAGGCTGAGACTTGTTGGGAACTGGAGTAAAGGTCACTCTTGCTATGCAAAAAGACTGGTGGCATTTTGCATGTGCCTAGAGATCTGTGGAACTTTGAACTTGAGAGAGATGATTTCGGGTTTGGTGGAAGAAATTTTTTAGTGGCAAAGGGTTCAAAAGGAAGCAGACCATAAAAGTTTGGAAAATTTGCAGCTTCACGATGTGATAGAAAAGAAAAACCCATTTTCTGAAGATAAATTCAAGCCAACTGCAGAAGTTTGTATAAGTAACGAGGAGCAAAATGTTAATCACAAAGACAATGATGTCTCCAGGGCATGTCAAAGACCTTCACAGCCACCCCTCCCATTAGAGGCCAGAGGCCTAGCAGGAAAAAATGATTTTGTGGGCTGGGCCCAGGGTCACCTGCTCTATGCAGCCTCAGGACGTGGCATCATGTGTTCTAGCTGCTTCAGCTCCAGCCATGGCTAAAAGAAGCCAACATACATTTCAGGCCTTTGCATCAGAGGGTGCAAGCCTCAAGTCTTGGCAACTTACATGTGGTGTTAGCCTGCAGATGCACAGAAGACAAGAATCAAGGTTTGGGAACCTCTGCATA
Organism: Homo sapiens; assembly: GCF_000001405.40. Lineage (NCBI taxonomy): Eukaryota > Metazoa > Chordata > Mammalia > Primates > Hominidae > Homo > Homo sapiens. The sequence goes on along the minus strand of NC_000003.12, from coordinate 89,701,015 downwards.
GATGTCAGAGGCTACTTGGATACACCTGGATGTCCAGGCAGAAGTTTGCTAGAGGGGCAGAGCTCTCATAGAGAACCCCTCTGCTAGGGCAGTGCAGAAGAAAAATGTGAGTTGAAGCCTCCACACAGAGTCTCCCCTGGGGCACTTCCTAGTGGAGCTGTGAGAAGAAAGCCACTATCCTCCAGATCCCAAAATGGTTGATCCACTGACAGCCTGCATCATGCACCTGTAAAAGCCAGGAGGGAGGGAGTCTGTACACTGCAAAGTCACAAGGGCAAAGCTGCCCTAGGCTGTGGGAACCCACCTCTGGCATCAGTATGACCTGAATGTGAGACATGGAGTCAAAGGAGATCATTTTGGAACTTTAAGCTTTAATGACTGCCCTATTGGCTTTCAGAGTTGCATGGGGCCTGTAGCCACTTTGCTTTGGCCAGTTTCTCCCATTTGGAATGGGTGAATTTACCCAATGGCTGTACCCCCATTGTATCTAGGAGGTAACTTACTTGCTTTTGATTTTACAGGCTCATAGATGGAAGGGACTTACTTTGTCTCAGATGAGACTTTGGACTTGGAATTTTGTGTTAATGCTGAAATGAGTTAAGAGTTTGGGGGACTGTTGGAAGGGCATGATTGTGTTCTGAAATGTGAGGACATGAGATTTGGGAGGAGCCATGAGTGAAATAATATGGTTTGGCTGTGTCCCCACGGAAATCTCATCTTGAATTGTGGTTCCCATAATCCCATGTGTCACGGAGGGACCAGGTATAGATAATTGAATCATGTGGGCAGTTTCCCCCATCCTGTTCTTGTGATAGTGAGTGCATTCTCATGAGATCTGATGGTTTTATAAGGAGTTTCCCACTTTGTTGGGCAGTCATTCTTCTCCTTCCTGCCACCATGTTAAAAGGATGTGTTGGTTTCTCTTTCTGCCCTAATTGTAAGTTTCCTGAGGCCTCCCCAGCCCTGCAGAACTGTGATTTAATTAAACCACCCAGTGTTGGGCAGTTCTTTATAGCAACATAAGAATGAATCAATACAGTTGGCCTCCAGCCAGGAGGTGGCGCTTTCAAGAGAGCACCAGTTGTGGTAGTAGCAGTGGGATTTTAAACTTGCTCTAAGCTGTCCAGGGGAAGTATTCTGGTTACTCATGCAATGGGTGAGAACATAAAGCTCCCAAAAGTTTATGTCCTTTGTGTTAAGATACCAGGGTGGGTGAAGAAATATCACCAGGTAGGGGCAGGTTTAGGTTGGTCTGAACTCAGATTCTCCTTGGGCAAGACAGAGTGCAGCTCCTGTTGGAGATAGGGGCTGGTTCTCAGGCCACTGGGGTAATGTTCCAGAAGGACATATAACTGTATCTGCTGTACAGAAAAGTTAGCAAAAGGAGTAGAGAGTAGCAGGCAGCAGTAAGCCTCATCCAGCTCCCATGCAGTTGGTGAGGCCGGTCTTGCTCCCACAGTCCTCCACCAACAACAATGAGTTTAGATTCTGGCAGTCTGCACACAGAACTCAGACCTGCCCAGGCCATAAACTTCCCTGAAGAGACAGCAATCAGGGCTCTCAGACCACGCCTCTCCCTGTCTGCTTGTGAGGCCAGGTGCCCGGCTCTGTGCTTGTGTCTGCAGCACATTTCCCATTCATCCGCCTGGTTTTGTTCAAGGGAGTTTGTCCCCACTCAAGATTATATCACAAAATTCATCTGGGAGCTTCTTTCACCCTGTGACCCCTCCCTGAACTCATTGACTGACTTCCCCAAGGGCCCCTGTGAGGCATAGTCAGGAATGGCTTTCCTCCGTTCACTCTGGACACTGAAAATGCCTACAATGCACTTCCCGCTGCTGCTTCTACTCGTATATTTCACACCACTTCCTGAATCCACTCCAGCTCTGGGTAGGGTTAAGGCCTTCTACCATGATCTGGATTTTCAGATTACTTGATAGGGATGTGTGCTTGGAGGCAGACTCTCCACCTCTCACACTCTGGGAATGTACAGTGTTCTGCCTGTCTCATGGAGGAGGCTGTAGCCTGTCGCTTCTTTCAGAGGGTCTGTGGATTCTTTTGGTTTTCCTTCTATGTTCCTGTGGTGGTTCTAGGGGAAAAATTTCTCAGTGTGAATCTGTACCCACTATTCTGTGCGTCCCAGTGGGAGAGGCATGCTAACACTGCCTCCAATCTGCCATCTTGAAAAAAAACCCTCAAAACCAAAACTTCCTTTACTTTTGTAAAGCATGATTCCCTTTCCTTTCTTGAACATATTTACCATTGGTGTTTTGAAGTTTTTGAGTGTTTACTTCAACATTTGGCCTTTTTTTACTGGTATTTCCCCCTGTGTATGAGTCATACTCCTGCTCCCTTGCGGGTCTCGTATTTTTGTTGTTATTGTTAAAAACTAGACATTTGAGAGTATATGTTGTAGCAACTCTGGGTACTAAATTTTTTCCCCTCACATGAACTTGCTTATTTTTTTAGTAACTTGGCCAAAATAACTTAGTGAAATCTATTTTCCCTACAATGTGAAGCTTCTGGTGTCACTTCTAAGAAGGTGCTGCCTTAGGCATGAATACAGTCACCCTAGGATGACTGTGGTTTTAACAGGGCTTTTCTTTGACTGTCTGTCTACCTGCTTGCTCTGCTCAGACTTCTGTTAGTATCACATCCTGCTGCTAGGTCCCACTAATATCAGCTGATCATTCTATTGTCTTCAACAAAAACCTAAAGTAAAAATTGCTCCACATTCTGATCCGTTAAATATGAGTCATTTTGTAGGGAAAGATTTTGAAGCTGTTAGTGGTGGTGAATCCATATGGGTCTGCAGCAACCTCAATTCTTACCTCCTCAGAAAGAATTAGACTGAGGGAAAGAGAGAGAGACCAAGGCAAGTTTTAGAGCCAAGGTGAAAGCTTATTAAAAAGCTTTAGAGTGAAAGTACCTTTGCAAAATTATGACTGAGATAGTGAAAGAGATCCAACTTAACCGACTCCATCTTGCTTCCAACTTCCACGCTGTCCTTGTTCATTCCTGGGTATAGGCTGAACTAATTTTGGAAGAAACTTAGTTTGTAATTTATAGTTTAAACAAAGATAGTAACAGCCCTTTCACAAAGCAGACCTCCTCCTTGCCTGGAGACTAGATTAACAATAGCCACAAGATTAAAAATTACAGTTTAGCAGTCATGTAGCGGGAGGCCACAAGATTCTGAGCCTCCCTAAACTGCTGCTACGATTAGTGCTTGAAATATTTTGCAGAGCCTGCACTTGATGGATCAGCTGGCGCCACGCCACCCAGATCAATGAACTGGCTCATTTGATCTTGTGGCCTCTCAAGCCAGGAACTGATTCAGCTCAGGAAGACAGCTTTGACTCCCTGTGATTTCGTCCTGACCAATCAGCACTCCTGGCTCACTGGCTTACCCCCACACACCAAGTTATCCTTAAAAACTCTGCTCCCGGAATGCTCAGGGAGACTGATTTGAGTAATAATAAAACTCCAGTCTCCTGTACAGCCGCCTCTGTGTGAATTACTCTATTGCAATTCCCTTATCTTGATGAATCAGCTCTGTCCAGAAGGCAGGCTAGGTAAACCCCTTGGGCAGTTACAAGAGCAGGAATGAAAGGAAGTAAAGTACAATTGGAAGAGGGCCAAGAGGGCAACTTGAGAGATTAAGTGCATGGTTTGACCTTTTGACTTGGGGTTCTATATGCCAGCATGCTTCTGGGGTCTTGCATTACTTCTCCCCTGATTCTTCCCTTAGGGTGGGCCATCTGCATGCGCAGTGGCCTGCTGGCACTTGGGAGGGGCTGCACACACAGTGTGTTTACTGGAGTTGTAGGTATGCATGCTTGGGGTATTCTTCCCTTACCAGTCGAGTGTTCCTAGAAGGTCATACACCAGGTAAACTCTGCCATTTTGCCTCTTAATATGCATGCTTGAGCCCACTCGCCCAACTCCTGAGATCTTAACAGGAAGTTTCTGATCACCAGTCTTGGGTTTTTTCTGTTGGAGGACTGCTGTTTCCTGGCACCAGCTACGACCCATTATTATTTTAGAGAAACAGTGTAACAACCACCTGCCCATCACCTGATGGTCATCTGACATTCCTGGTGGTGGGGGGTGGGGGGATATGGGGGGATGGAGGGGAGGCCCTCTCCTGCCCACTCATGGTTGATAAGCTACCCACTGTTAACAAGGCCAGTTTTGAGGTTTGTTCTGACCCCACGAAGACCTTCTTAGCCATTCATTTTCCTGCTTCTCTTTGGTAAACTAGCTGATGTATAGTTTTTCTTCTTCTCATGCAACCAAAGCACAGGTTCAGTACCTCACCAATTGCAGAGTCCAATTAACAAGAGCAAGGTCTGGTATAAAGAAAGTGACTTTTTCATTCAAAGCTTGCTTAGGGGAAGAAGTAGAGGCTTTCTGCCTTAAGGATACTGCTTTGTTTTTGAAGCAGAATGTGGGCACTTTTAAAGTGGGGGGACTACACAGAGGCAGAAGTGAGCAGGTGTGGAGCCTGCATACTTGCTTTAGTGCCTTATTTACCAAGCAGTTGGGTTGGTGGCTTCATGGGCAGAGATACACTGTAAAGGCAGCCAAAGAACTCTCTAGCAGGTAACTTTGGGCTGTAAATTGACTATCTCTCAAGGCAACCTCCTGGTGTGTAAGAGTTTAGCGCTGGAACTTCTAAACACATAGTCAGATGAACTTGCCCTGTAGAGAGTGTCTGGTGAAAAGGAAGTAGAAGGCTATAATTGCATTTCTAAAGAGCTAAGTGGGAGTGGAAAAAAGGATGAAAGAGAAAAGAAAGAAGAAAGAGGAAAATAAACTATCTCTTAGAAAAATCTGGGGACTCAGTTACACTACTAGCCTTCTTTTCATTGCAAACCACCAGAATCTCCATTGATTCAAGAGGACTTTTAGTTCTAAACTTTCCTATACCCTGTTCTGAATAAAGTCATTTTGTTGGTGGGAGGGAGATTTTTGGATCTCCCCATTCCTATGGTTTGTCTTTCCTGTGTATAATCTCTGAACTGGGGATCCGGAGCAGTGGGCAAGGCCAGTGGCACACTTCTCCTGGCATGATGCTTCTCATTTATGAGCAGGGTGCTGGACAGGGAAAGTAGACTCTGGTTGTTTTGGCTTCCCTTTCCTGGTGTGGAACCTTGTGAGTTTGGGAACCTTGTGAGTTTGCTAGGGTGTAGGTGATTGAGGCCACAGTATTCCCTGCCTACCATTCCTGGCATCAAACTTCCACCTATGAGTGAGGGCTGGGAAAATGAAGAGAGACCCCAATATCAGCCTTACTCACCTGAAATTTAGCTTTGCAAAGCCAAGCTGCAGGGGGCTGGGGAGAGGAATTTATATGAAATACTGGTAACTTGCTTCTCCCAGGGAGATACTGTAGCCCCTGACTGGGAACTGAGTGTAGTTACTCGCCTAGGATAGAACTTCACTCTCATTGAGCTGTGTGTAGGGAGAGGGGCAGGGAAAGGATTGGATAATGACTCAAGTATCACAGATTTTCACTGATCTTACTGAAATTTAAATAGTTGTTATTTTTCAAAAATAATTTCTACAAGCTGTGATGGTTTTGTTGTGGAGCAAGTGAACGTGAAGATCTCATACCACGATTTGGAAAGTGGATCTCTAACTTTGTATCTACATTCATGATCTTATCTTGACATTTTTAAAAAATAAATAAGAATGTCTTTTGTGATGGTCTATATAAAACTCTGCTTTTTGAATGTCCTTGGAGATAGCATGACTATTTTACTGGTTTCCTCATTAATTAGTAATTTGAATAAAATCTTTTACACATGCTTACTTTACACAAGTCAGAGACCCATGAGAGAATCATATGGCGACACTCTAATGCCTGTTCATGACAGCTTTCCTTTCAGAGAATTCTTGATTGCCCCATACAGAATTAAACATTTCCTCAGATTCACCACTTTACTGTACACATATTTTTACTGCATTTTTCATACACTATTATAATTATCTACTTGGATTTATGTTAATGCAATGGGATGTGTTAGTCAATGCTTCAGTCATTTCACTTTATTTATTTAATCTAAGTTTCCCATTTTATCTATATTGCCATATTTGCCCTTTCTATGAACTGTCTAAATAATATTTGGAAGAGTTATAAGCAAACAATATTAAATTAAATTGAACTAGCACATGCCCTTTCTGGGACTTAGTTTCCTCATTTAAAAAGTGAAGGAGGTAAGCTAGGTCAGAGATCAGTCTGTCCACCTATACTTTTGCATAATTTTGATAGGCTGCTTGCTATTAAAAAACAGTCTCTATCTTTCCTATATTATCAGAACATGAATTCTGTTTTCTCTAAGCATGAGGAAAAGAAAGCAGAAGAAGTTGAAGAAGAAAACATTTTATTCTATGACACAACTACATGAAGAACAGGTGAGGCACAGAAAAGTGCACAGGACAGAAACACAGCACTTCAAATTCAAATCATGTGATTATCAACCACACTGTATAGTCTCATGGACAAATCCTAGTTCAATTCCTACTTCTGCTACTTACTTTGATTTAGTGTCATGCTCTCAACCACCATGGCTCAATTTCCTTATAGGTAAAATTGGAATATTAACATCTAGAAGAAAGAAATATAATAAGAATATGATGTAAAGAAACTCTCTGCTAAGCAGGCTATCTGATGCAGAGACAGGTAAGGAAGCATGCATGACTCAGTCTGGAAACATGTTTAGAAATCCATCACCTACTATTAAATGTATATGAACCTTTTTATAAGTCTAAGAGTTTCTACTTTATGGCTGAATAATATGGATACTGTTTTTAAAGATAATTAATATATTTAAGGCACATTTTTAATTTAATATGTGTCATATTGCTATTTAATGAAAAAAGAATGGAAAGCTTGTAATGTGTCCCTGTTTACGTCCTTCATTTAGCATGTGGTCATTCTTTCCCCAATTATATCAAGGTGCTACTATGCATATAGCAGTCTATGAGGCATTAGCATAACCTCAACATGTTTATGGTATCCACCTGCAAGGAAGTCAACTTTTTACACACTAGATCTGGTCCTTTGAAAGACAAACAAACAGTTCTGGTTTCATTTTAATGCAGCTTTAGCTAGTATGACATAATAGCTGGAACTCTGCATCTCTTGCAAAAGACTTTCAAGTAAGTTGTCTATTTCAAATTTTATGTTCATGTTTTAAGTCATCTGGTTTTACTTCAAATTAATTATATTCGAGTCATCATTAAAATTAAATTTCAAAAGGTGTTGAGTTTCATGGATGGCTCTTTAAAATCATCTAATGCACTAAATCTAATGCATTATATACATATTGAGAGATGTGATAAACTGTTTACATTAATGTTATGATTATAATACTTCATAATGTAATTTGAAATAATATTTTTGAGATATCAATTGATGTCCTTTCCTCCAATATGCCTTCTTTTCCTTGGTCTCCCAGAAGCAACTAATTGATCTGTGCTCATTGCCCCCAGGAAGAGATATGACAAGATAGGAAAAAAGAAAAACAAAAAAAGCCTCCCAGAATCTCTGTGTCTGTTTCCAAAAGCTTAAGCCTTTTGCCCTAGATGCAAAACCAAATGCATATTAGATCCGAGGCAGGTCCTGTGAAGAGCAAACTGGAGTGAAAGATCACTGATGAAAGGCAACTGAAAGTCCACAGTTTTCAGAAATGCTGAAAACAAAATAGGGAAAATGAGTTTCTTCTTAGATGATCAGTGCGAACTCAGCACTAGTTTTTGAGATGAAGGAAAGAAAATCTTCTGAATTCCAAGTTTTAAAATTTTTAGGAGAAGCTGGAAATCAAAATTTTAAAGTATTGGCAAGTAATTTTTTTCTTTTAATAAAACTATGTAAGTAAACATTTAATGTCATACACTGAAATATTTGTTTTTGTTTTTTTTTCCCATTGTCTGTGAACTTGCCACATTAGTTTTGGCTTTGGAGAAACAGATTAGGGATAAATAACTTTGAAAAATATTATAAGGAGAAGTATTTTTATACTTTATCAAACCATTTTGTTTAGACTGGATGGAGAGTCTGGAATTTGAGTGAAGAGAAACAAATAGGAGGCCACAAAAATAAAAAATTACATGAGTTTCCCCAGGGGGGCCATGTGCAATGGGGAGGTGGGAACGCTGAAGAGAAGGAAGGGCTTCTCTTTGTGGTTTTGAAGTGTGACAGCAACAGCCTGTCAAAGTCTTTTTGGCCCTCTGGAATATTGTGAAATACTGACTGGACTCCAGGACTTCTGAGAGATAGGCACAGATAAGGCAGGCAGAAAACACAGGAAGAAAAGACATCTTGGTGGTGAGCTGTGTGGATGACCATCTGAGAAAGATGCTCCCCTGCCTCAGAAAGTCTGAATACTCCACAGTCTTCTCCTCAGCTCCCCTCTGCCCTTTTGTCTTACACACATTCACCAGAAACATTGCTGAGGAGACAAATGTAAATGTTTCCTAGAAGTTAAGTGGGATTGGGGCCCAAAGTAGGAAGAGTTAATTATAACAAAATAAAGTTATAGTTCTGTAAACTTAAATGTGTTACACCTGAGGTAAGTAGTTATTATTTATTTCTTGCTTTTATAACTGTTGTTCTTATCTCTCTCCTCCTATGTGTATAACTATTCTGGTTAACTTGTTCATTCTAAATCTACTAAAGGATATTCATAGTAAATTTAAAGGCACTTGTGTTGAGATAATGCTATTATGATAAAAGCCTACAAAGTCCAAATTCAAGACCAAAAACTTTGATAAGGGATGTGAACAAAGTTAGAGAAATTAACACAAGGAAGACTTCTGATGGAAAACTCCATGCTATGTTATAAATAAGATCTGGAAAAAATCCAGAAATATACATTTAAAAAATCATAGACATGACTAAAAGTGCAATTTATCCTGGGAATGCAAGATAGCTACCATATTTGGAAATGAGTCCATATAATCCACCATAAAAAAGACAAAATGCAACATAACGTGAAACAAAAACAAACAGAACACAAATGCAGAAGGCTGACAACAATTGTTTTCTTTCTGTCTTCCTCGCACAGACTGATGGTGGGTTGAGAAATACAAAATTCCTAATACTATAATATTTTGTCAAGTAGTTTACAGCGTTCATTAATTATTTTTGTAATTTGCCTGAACTCTCTTATTTTGGGTACAAAAAAGTTTTTGTTTTGCAATCTTGCTTAGATGGTTTGGTTAGATAATCTCAATGCATAAAAATCAGGCAAATATTCACTACCACTAATTTATAGGATTGACATTAGAGTTAGATAACTGGAAATTATCAGCTATAACACTGGAGCCTGCCCACTAAAAAAGTTCCAACATTTTAGTCATAATTAATGTATAGATATCCTTTACTGTGAAATAACAAATATTTCAGGAAAATGATGTATGTTACACGAATTCTGTGAAAGTGAAGAAAGATGAGTAATGGCTGAGCTAGTCAAATTTATCATGACACACAGAAGGTGAAGAAGTCATAATTTTTCTTTTCCTTTAGACAATTTTCTCAGCATAATTTATTAGAATTCATTTATTTCACATTGCTTTATGACACTTTATTACATATTACTTTTGTATATATATATTTCATGAAATGGAAAGTATTCTTTCATTGGTCATTTTTATTTGTACAAATTCTATGTTATTTTAATTAGTATTGCTCTGATATTGGTTTTAATATCTCCTTCTCTCATAATTCTTAAATTTTAGCTTCGGTTTTCTAAATATTAATTTTAGGTGTCCTTCATGTATTATTCTCTGTATAGTTAACATAAAAATACTTCCTTTAGGCTGCTAAATATTAGGTATCTAAAACATAACTGCAATCACATTATATCAGCAGAAACAGCAAAAGAATGGATAGAATAAATGTAAATGTAAAAATACGAAGTCTTTTGCCTATCTGCAGGAAATGTGAAAACTAGTAATCTGTGTGTGTGTGTGTGTTCAAACAAGTGCAATTTAATAATCTATAGTTTCAGGATACTACATTTTAGTGAACCCATAGAGGTACCAACATTTTGTTTGTTGCCAAGGAATTACTTAAGTGGTAGAGGGTGCTTGGCTCACTGAGTCATCAAGTTTACTCCATTCCAACGGCAAGAAAAGGATCCAGATGGAGCATGAGCTGCTGTGGAAACCTGATGCTCCTCATGGTGGCAATGCCAAGCTTAGAGACTAGGCTGCTCTCATAGTTAAAGATGAGCTCATGGCATAATTAGTAGTAAAAGCTGCCAAGAAGTAAAGAGTTTGGCTTTCTTTAAACTTCTATGCTCTGCCTCACGTGTAGGTCCAGTTTATTGAAATCAATTTCAGGTGGATGTTTCTGAGATTAGCTTGATGCTATGAGCTTTTAAAAAGTAGAAATGGTGTGTTTCTTCTCTGACTAAATGTAATGCCCAGAGAATGGACTCAGAGTTTTTATACCAAAAACAATTGATCTTTATAACCAAACATCTAACAAATTCTGAAAATACATAAAACAATGCTGAATCACACAGAGGCAAAGTAAGTGGATGCTTCCCTTGAGGTAATTTAATTAATAAATTAAGTCAAAAGGATTGGATTAATAAACATATCCTCTATTACTTGTGAGCAAGCTTTAGATTTTACATAAATTACAATCAGATTAGGGCAATAAAATTCCACTAATGTGGCAAAGTAGGTTTTATTCTTAGTTTATACAGTTTAAAGATTCTTTTTCCACTTATGAAGTTTATATACCAGCCATTTTATTTTAAGTATGACTAAACTTGCTTAGCCTAATGATTTAACTGTTTAATGTAATCACCTTCATAACAAAGATATTATTACATTTAAGTCACTTAAGCCTATCATTTCATAAATGTGTTCTAAATATTGAGTCTGAATTAAAAATAAAAATAAATTTCTGATTTAAACAACAAGAATATAGAATTCATAAAGGGCAAACATTTATGAAACTTGTTCATGGAAAGAAAAATTATAACTTTGATTGTAGAGCAATTGTAATTAAAAATTATTTTTGGTGGTGGGTAGGAGGAGGCTCCTTTTGACCCAATAAATACATCTACTATGTTTTTCCTCTATCTTTCTCATTATTTCAAAAGCAGAAGACATGCTTGAACATTCTGATTCTATTTCAGAATTGTTTGTACACTTTTCTTAGTTTAATAAGTACGTTTAGAATATTATTTAGGAACTGAGGGCAATTGTCATGTAACCCATGTGAGATTTTCTCCTCAATTTTTTTGTCACTTTTGCTTTTTGTTGTGTGTGTGTAATGTCCTCAAATACTCTTTTTTCAGGGGGTCACTTATGACCCTTACTACCTTCATACAATGCATTAAAGGAGATATGGTACTTATTAATTCTGACAATTTATGTCTTTATTTCTTGGCACTTTGTCATAAGTTTTAAAATATATTTTAGTTGCTTAAAATTTATTCTAAGAAAGAAGATAGAAATGATGAAACTATTGTTTTTTGAAACTGCTTCATTACTGTTATTGTTAATATTATTATTACTGTTGAGACTGGGTTCTGCTGTGTCACACAGGTTACAGTGTAATGGTGCAATCTCAGCTGACTGCAGCCTCGAACTTCTGGGCTGTGGTGATCCTCCCCCCTCCTTTTCTGAGACGCTGAGACAAACAGGTGTGTGCCACAACACCCAGTTAATTTTTGTATTTTTTTTTTTTTTGTGGAGACAGGGTTTCTCCATGTTGCCCAGGCTGGTCTCGAACTCCTGGGCTCAAGTGATCTACCTGCCTTGGCCTCCCAAAGTGCTAGGATTACAGGGGTGACCCACTGCTCCTAGACACTTCATTATTTATTTATTTATATTTTGAGACAGAGTCTGCTTTGTCACCTAGGCTGGAGTACAGTGGCGCGATCTCGGCTCACTGGAGCCTCAACCTCCCTGGTTCCAGCGAATCTCCTGCCTCAGCCTCCCAAGTAGCTGGGATTACAGGCATGCCTCACAATGCCCAGCTAAGTTTTGAATTTTTAGTAAAGACAGGGTTTCACCATGTTGGACAGGCTGGTCTTGAACTCCTGACCTCAAGTGATCCACCCGCCTCGGCCTCCCAAAGTGCTGGGATTACAGGCGCCTGGCCAGCTTCATTATTTTCTTAAGAAGAAAAGGAATATTACAAACTTAAGGTCAATTAGGATGTGAACTTTATAACATGAAGAAAAGCATTAGGAAAACAAAACTATATTGAATGTACAAGTAAGATACAATTGCTAGAACCTCTGTTGTTGCGCTGAATATATCTGCGCTTTTATCAAAGTTATTGAATAGAGAAAATAATATTATATTTCAAAAATGTAGATTAATTTGTTAGAATAATAAACTCATTGAGTAGTCTAGTAAGAGGAGTAGATTTGTACAAATTCAAAACACTTCCGTAGTCCTCCAGTTACCGTTTTTATGTTAATTGGCCACATAAGTGATATAATCTATAGCAATTGTTTACAACAAAGATAGTGACATTGGTTTATACGGTTTTCTATAATTTTATTAGAAATGCACTGTAGCTAAGCTCTAAGCTGAATAATACCCAGATCATTTCTTTACTGAACTGGTCTCATAGCAAAAAACAGAACTGTGAAAATATAGATGCCACACTGCGAAGGGTACGATAGCAACCGGAAAATATGTTAGTGCCAATGGAAAGATGAGTCCATCATACAAGGTTCTCAAAAAAAAAAAGAAAAAAAGTAAAATTTTGTATTTCTACTTTTCACTATCAAACGTAATTGCAACTATTTAAATAGTATAAATAATAATAATGACAATTTACTTTCAGCTACATTTCCTATGTTAAACACTTTGCATATCTAATATGTACCTAGTGTCATTATTTTACCCATTATGAAACTATGCTTAGGAAAAGTAAGTTTCTTATGAAAGTTAAAAAACTAGCAAGTGGTGGATCGAAGATTCAAACCCAAGTTTAATTATAATGATTAGAAAAGTAATGAAGTTTAGAATTGTATGCTTTCTAAAAACTATATAAAGTTATATGCTGTAAAGATTCACATGTTTGGGCAGGGAAATATCCAATAACCATCAATTCAAGTGTAACTATCCAAATTCAGCTTACTTTTAATTCTGCTATATAATACACTGAAGAATTTATAGGCCATTTTTGGGGGATTTGAGAAGTTTCCAGATTAGTTTGTTAAAACCAGTGGTTCCCACTTGACTTCTTAAACATTTTAACAGTAGATATGTCTGCTTCTGCCTCTTTCTCCCAAAATCAACTTAATAATTTTAAAAATCTCATTTTAAATAAATACTTTATTTTTTATAAGCTAGACAAATATTAACAAAATGCCATCAATGTTTCTCAAGAAAAATATTTTTGGAAGAATTATTTTAAGCATGTCTACTCACTTTTTAAATATATATTTGGGAAATTTTTAACACTGTGTTTCAGAAGCCATTGTATTTTTTTTCTGTCTCATTATCATAATTCTAGTTGGAGTTTATTTGTACCAATTTAATCACCTTTGAAATTCTATAATTTTATGTATGTTTATTATTATTTAGATTTTATTATTTTTATTATTATTATGTTGCCAGACCCTGAGATAAGAAATTTTCCCTGAACCATGGAAAAATATGTATATATATATGTGTGTGTGTATATATATATATACGTGTGTATATATATGTATATATGTGTGTGTATATATATATGTGTATATATACGTGTATATATGTATATATGTATATATGTATATATGTGTGTATATAATACGCATATATGTACAAGTATATAATACGCCTATATATACACGTGTATATATACACATATATATATATAAACACACACGTGTATATATATATGTGTGTATATATATATATATATATTTCTCTATGGACCTCAAAATGGGAAATCAAGATATGATGACTGCCCAATGACAATCCGTTGTACATTTGTACAGTACAGCAACACTCTTGACAGTCTTTTCAACTTCCTGTTAAGTGGCATCTTATTGGTGGCTTGAGATCAACAAATCCTGCAACTCAGAGTATATTTTTTCCTCATCTGAGTGCTGGTTATTAAATATTTACCAGCATGCCCTTGATTTTGAATTTCCTTCAGTCTGATCATTGGGTAATACTGCAAAGCTGAGAACCAGGACTTTCATTCTAATAACAGTACCAAGGAAATACAGTAAAACTCTTGAGAGCTGGCTAGTCATCTTTTTCCTAGAGACTATTCTGACTTCTTAGCAATCTCCTGTTTTTAAAAAGCAACAAGAATATACCCATTTTAAATATCATTTTATAAAGGAAGGGGAGAACAAATAAAATATTTATTTTTCAAATGACTAAATATGGTAGTATCACCATCTGTAGTCTATGCCAATAAGAAAGCATGGAAAATATTGTACAGAAGGCATGGGTGAAGATTAGAGAGCCTCTGTTTAATAATAGGATGTAAGGGAAGTAAATTATCTGGCTCTTTGCCTGGCTGGACAGCTAGTCAATGAAATTTGATAGGAGTTCAGGCCTTCTTTAAACAACAACAACAAAAATTCGGTGTCAGAAATCTAGGATGGCTTTCTTCAGGCTGAAAAAAAGTTAACCCCAGATATTTTATGAAAAATCACAGGTGATATTTGGCTTTAGAGTATGAACTGATTTCTGCAACTTATTATTTCACAGAGCAAGTGAGTACACAACCTTCATTAGACATACTTTCCATGCCTGTAGAATTAAAGGTTAATATTTGTGAACATTGATGGCACACAGCTATTCATTAACTTATAATCAACTTGTGGGAAGAGAAAAGGAGGCATTAAGTACTTTAAATCATATGTGGCATGATTTTCCCTTGGAGGCAGGTGATGGAAAATGTGCATGGAAGGAAAATGGAACAAGAAGAACACTAGCACCAAGACAGATACAACTAAACAAATGTTATTATGGAAAATGGCAATTAAGATTCTCTTAATTAGCCTGTCATTTTGTATTTATCATCATAATGTTTGTTTTACAATGCTTTATTAAATCTGACTCTATGACAAACAGTCTGTTGGCAATGCACCCTGCTGTGCAACATATGGTGTTTCACCTAATGAATATTAATGCTGTGAGGTATAAATGGTCTTCAGGGACAGTGCTGATGGCTGGGAAACTCCTGCATATGATATTATTAGTCACAAAGTTTAATGTACATGTTTCTCATCAGTCTTTTTTCTCTCTCACGGTGGCCTACCATTTTGCCTATGAAACCTTAAGTGCACATTCAAAAGTTAAACGTAGTTGTCCTTTGCTATTACTTATTTCTGCTCTTCCAAGTAGTCTTGCTCTGCTGCTTCTTCCCACCAAATGACTGCTCATGAGGATTCTCCTCAAATCCATGCTTCCCACCTATGTGAGTCTGTTGTTGCAAGTAATCCTCTTTGAATTGGGCCAGATGTCTTATTCCTATAATTGTATAGTTTCCCCCATGCTGTAATGTTTCCAAACTCATTCCATCCAAATAACAGGTTATTATGGATGGAAATGTTTGTGTTCCACTTGCAAATTCATAGTTGAAGTCCTAATCCTCAGTGTAATAGTATTAGGACATGGGACCTTTGGGAAATAATTAGCTCATGAGTGGAGAGCCCTCATGAATGGGATTAGTGCCCTTATAAAAGAGACCCCAGAGAGCTCTCTCCTCTTTTTCTGCCATGTGAGGAAAACAGCTGTCGGAAACCAGGAAATGGGCCCTCACCAAAACTGCTGGTGCATTGATCTTGGTTTTCTGAGTGTCCAGACTGTGAGTAATAAATTTTTGTTGTTTATCAGCTACCCAGCCTATAATACTTAGTTACAGCAGCTCAAACTGACTAAGATGATGATCAATTTTTTTAAACATTGTAATATATATAATCTACTAATTGTAACCCCTTTCTCCCACACTGCCCATAAAATAAAATTTTCAATAATTTTTATATTAAATGAAAATGTCCTTAGTCAAAGAAATGAAAGGGAAGCAAAATCAGAAATTTTAGAATATGAAGAGTATTTTGTTCCACATCATTATTTCAAAGCATGCCATGGAATTCAATTTGTGTCATAAAGCATGACCATCCCAGAATACATCAAAACAATACCAAAAAATACTATCATAAGTTTTTGTTTCTCTACCAACATGTAAAATTATGGATAGGAAATTGAAAAAAAAAATCTTATCTTTTGTCTTTCATGACTGTATAGAGAAGTAAGAAAATCAATCGAGAAATTGTATGATCATGTTTAGGGGAATAATTCTACAAACATTTAAAAATGTGTAGGCTGAAAATAAATGACTGCAGATGGAATCGTGTATGTCACTGTATAAATACATCTCTGAATAACATTGCCTTAAACGTACTCTATTGTATATCACGTAAAGTAAGTAGATGCAAATCCCACCTACAAATCAGTTTAAGAATACTGGAGGCAGGGAGCGGTGGCTCACACCTGTGATCCCAGCACTTTTTGGGAGGCCGAGATGGGCGGATCACGAGGTCAGGAGATCGAGACCATCCTGGCTAACACGGTGAAACCCCGTCTCTATTAAAAAAAAAATACAAAAAAAAAAAAAATTAGCCGGGCGTAGTGGCGGTTGCCTGTAGTCCCAGCTACTCTGGAAGCTGAGGCAGGAGAATGGCATGAACCCGGGAGGCGGAACTTGTAGTGAGCCGAGATGGCGCCATTGCACTGTAGCCTGGGCGACTGAGTGAGACTCCGTCTCAAAAAAAAAAAAAAAAAAAAAAAATACTGGAAATATTATTAAATAGCCTACAAGTATTTTGAAGATTTCTTCCCTTATCTTCAAGATAATCATAAGCACATCCCCTTTCAGTAAGATGCAAATTAACTTATTTCTGACACACTAGAAGTAGGAAGGGAAAGGAGTTGG
The DNA here is from genome assembly GCF_000001405.40 of Homo sapiens. Lineage (NCBI taxonomy): Eukaryota > Metazoa > Chordata > Mammalia > Primates > Hominidae > Homo > Homo sapiens. The sequence continues at coordinate 89,684,085 of NC_000003.12, read as the reverse complement.
ATTGCAAAATGATTTCAGCAGCCACCTGTCTTTCAACCCAAAATAACACAGAAATAGATTTCATCTAATGATGAATAATGATGCTTTTACTATTTGTTGGTCATTTACTATTTGCATAGTATTTTATATACACTAGTTAAATTTTAACAGTCATATAAAGTACATTTTTAAAAGCACTTCAAAATGAAGATGCATCTATATGATGCAGCCACCGTAATATCGTCTAGTGTCTAGACCACTGAGCTATGCTTTTAGGGAGCTTTCTTACTTCCCAATATCTATTTCTATCCAGTTAGGGAGGTGGTTAGTTTTTTCAGATGGAATCTTCATCCGAAAGTTACTACTTCTACTATAAGGACCCTCATACATTTATTCTACAAAATTTGTATTGAGTTTCCCATATCAGTAGGTGGTACACAAGAGACAGAAACTCAAAGTCATGAAACATGGAAAGAAGCTATTCTTGAATTAATACGTTAAAAAGCCACAGACTTCACATTAAGTATATGGGGAAATGCCTTTTTAACAAAGTTACATCCTGCAAATTATAATATGGAGGGTTGATTAGATGAAAGTGGTTGCCTATGGTAGATAAACCCAGAAAAGCAGCAGGATTAATTGAATTTAGAAAGTGAAAGAAGAGCAAATTCAAAGATTATTCTCCTAGGCATACGTGTGCAAGGAATTCTTTTCCTTTTCTACTACATTCTTAGCATACAGCAATAAATTATATATGGGACAATATTTACAGAACAATTATATAATATATAAGAAGAAACTTTATATGAGCTGTAAAATTGCATCAGAATCTATTGAATCTCAGTTTTTATCTGTTAGTCTATGCGAAATTTACAGTAAAATGTATATTAACCTCATCTTAGAGTGTGAATTTAGTAATTTTAAGTAAACTTACATTTCTGATTTTATCCTTTCCATAAATATACAGTAAAGAACCTCTCTTCATAGATAGTATCTGGATTGGTATACCACATCTGATAGCACTGTTCTGGTATCTGAATCAGTAAAATTAGCAAAACAATACCTTTTACTCAATCGAGTTAAAAAAATTTCTGCCTAGTATTTTATTTATTATAGTAGTTGTGGTACTCATATTATTCAATGTTCGACTGTAAAACATTGAGTTACTATCTCATGGTCAAGCCAATACTAGCAGTATAAAACAGAGGTAATTCCTTCAGAGCCTGTATATGGAAAAGAAAGTAACATGAGGCAGCACATAGCTAAAGGCCAAATTAAGAAACAAGAGTTTGTGTGTGCAGCAGAGGAGGAGAGGGCAAAAGCCTCTGGAGTATTAAGGATTGTAGACAGGAAAAACTCAAAGATGATTCAAAGCCATCAAACAGCATGCTCACTGTTCAATGTGTAAGTGCAGTCCAGCATTTATAGTCATCGCTGAGGGAAGCATCTGAGTCTTTTCCAGTAAAAGAAGTCCTGTTTGTATGTGCTTTAGAGAAAAAGAAAGAAATTTTATTTTTTATTTTTTTGTATTTTCTACATAGTCCGAAACAAAAAATGGCTATAAAATCATTCCTGGGTAAATGTACTGATGCCACATTCCAGTAAAAAACAAAATAAATATTTTTGAGTGTTTCTTTTGTTTATAAACCACTACTCTAATCTTCTTTTTAGAAACAGAATAGCTTGCAAATAATGGCACATAGCTGCTTAAATGTTGAGTGTTACTTTCTTTTCCACTTTTGCATTGAATTGGTGACAGTGCTTTATGTTTAGCAGTAGTAAGTTCAAATACTTTTTTAAAAAATAAACTACATGGTAAAGTATTGGGAAATTGTATTTTGAAAATCTCTATATGTGATCATATATAACAATTCAAATATTTTACTGGTGGAAATGGAAGAGTGTAAAAAACATTTAGGAGGTAAAAATAGCTGACAATTGTTGGATCTTTAATAATAAATCCAAGAGTCTTGTCATATTGTAAGCTCGTTACATTTCTAAGCAAATTGAAAAAAGAATGAGATAAATCCACGAATAAGGCAAATAACTAGTAACAGTTGCATCATTATTGTAAATTACTAAATTCTTTGTTTCTGCAGCTTCTAGAACAGAGCACTTTGGGGTTAGAAGAGCCAATTCTAATCAGTGCAAATTATTTTATACTCTTTGGGGAAAACAAATATCATTCATATTTCCTTCTTAAAGGAAAAATTAACAATATAAGAAATGCACATTCCTGAAGCTCAATGTATTGCTCTCCAAATATAATCGTTATTGTACAAAGTTTGATTTTCCACCCAGAAATTCTCAAATATAAATAATATGATGTGAAGATAGCTTTGTTTTATTATGTTTTGCTTTGCTCTTCAAATAAATTAATTATACATAGTAATGTTAGACAATAAACATTTTATAGAACACTTTTTTTTGATTGAAGGAAATCCACTTGAACAAACTTAGGCCAAAATGGGGAGTATATTTGTTGATGAAAACAAACCACCAAAAGTCATAGGAGCTACTGACTCCAGGGACAGCCATAAATAAAAAAAGGAACATGTCTAGGTTCTCCCTCCATTCTATATTGTCAAGTTTAGACCCGCCTTCTGCAGATAAACTTTTTCTGCACTGTGGACATCACTGACTACCAGATGCTTCTGTATTCATATTCCTTCCCTCACTATCTGAGAAGAACTACTTTTCTTTCTTAAATTTCAATCTCAAAATTCCTGAAGAAGGTATTTGAATATGCAACTCTTTATAATTAATCAGGGAGAGAGGGTGAGACTTATAAGATGTCAGCCTTATTCAAACCACAAGGTTGAAGCAGTGGATGGGGATGGTAGGCAGGAGAGGAGCAGTTGCCCAAAACAGTGGAAAAACAGCATATTCTACTACCATATATAACTCTGAGTCTATTAGAAAACTTTTCTCTTTTTGTGCATTTATCTATGTCAATAATTCCTATGATTTTAAAGGAATTCATATATTTTTTGGTATAGTTGGTGTTTACAATCATGGAAGAAAAATACTTACATGGAATGTAATGTGGAAAATCTGTATCACAGACACACGTTTTGAAACCAGTGTCGGACATTTTTAACGTGGGTATAATAATGTCTTTCAACCTGGGAATAATTTACGTTTAAAATAAATTAAAACTCCTATATATTTAGCATTGCTATGTGGTACTAGGCAATGTTTCCATAGCTTTAGACATATTACATCACTTATTTTTACAACAACAATATAAAGTAACATAGATCCATTTGCAAGTGAGAAAATTTGGACTTAAGAAGATTTTATTGCTTTCCCAATGTCACACTGTTAATACACAACAGTTAGGATTTTGAACTCAATTGCTCTTTCTTAATCAGTTCACTATAAGGACATGCAGTAGTGAATTACAATATCCCTGTGTGCTTTTAAAATTTAAGGTGAAGACTACTATTAAAACGTATTTATCATATTAAAAAGTCAGACTACAAAATTTGAACTGAGGTTTCATCAAGTATGACAGACAAGGAAACAATTGCTGAACAGGTAATGTTGTTTAATATATTGTATTACATGCTTACCATTTTATTAATGTCTCACTAAAAAAAGCTCAAGGCTTTGGAAAACTGGGGTAATATCACAAATCAATATTCTCATTTGATATTAATTACATCTCAGTAGTTAATTTTTAAAAATCTTGTAACAACATAAATTAGCTAGGTTTGGTAACTAAAGCATGTCTATCCATATACACATATAAAGTTGATTACAAACACTTTGCTCTTTCTTCCACTCTGAGATTATACACTATTCTGTCTTCCTGACTTTCTCATGTCATCAATTTATTTTACTATGTTAGTTCCTCTTCTCTTCTCTTTAGAATTTTCTCTATTGTCTCTGTTTCAAAAGCTACTAAACTATATGAGTCTCAAATTTATATCTCTCATCCATAATCATAATAACCAACTAATAACGTAATTTTCTTTTTTTAACAATGAATTTTCCTTTCTAACAAGTTTCTGATTTCTGGGCATACACTGAGATGGGTTTGGGAGGAGAGATTGTATATAAGATGACTATAGAAATTACTTTTTTATAAAGTAATAAATATATACTTTTATATATACTTGTTTGTAAAAGGCAAAAGCATTTGTTTTTGCCTTTTTTCCCTATTAAACACACAAAGATATTCCACAATGATTCACTATATGACGTAATAAACATTCACTTAAGATATTCAGTCAACCATTGAACAAATATTTATCAAGTGTCTACTATGTGCTACACACAATTCAAAATGTTGAGAAACGACAGTGAACACGACAGGCAAGGAACTTTTATTTTAGAGAAGAGAAACATAGACTAAACAATAAATATATTGGGAAATAAAGAATAAATTAATAATACAAAAACTGCAAAATATTAAATTAATAGTGATTGCGAGCCTACTTTAGTTTGGAGCATCAGAGAAAAACCTTAAGGATATAACCATTAGGCTAATCTCTAAGTGATGAGAAGGAGCCAACAACCAGAGAGTGAGGTGTAAACATGTTAGGAAAAATGGGAGGCCTAAACCACAGTTTCTTACATGGGATGATGCACCAAGTATCTCTAAAATGACAGAAGATGAGCTTGGATAAACAAACAAGATATTGATTAAGTTGAACTTTGTAATCAGGGAAAGATTTTAAGCTAGGAAGCAACATGTTCTGATTTACAATTTTATTTTGGCTGCTATATGTATTGTCGTATTGAAGAAATTGTATTGAGGAAAGAGTAGCTAGAAAGAAGACAGAAGGTTGTTAAAGTTATCTGGAGAAGTTATGATGGTTACTTGCACTAGATTGGTATTAGGGATCAGCCAGCATGTCTTCTTTATGCAATTTGAAAAGTATAATTCTTTCAGTGCAAAGCTTTCAAAGTAGGAAAAATATTTATATAAAAATAATGCATATAATAATCAAAAATACACAACTCAACACCGGGATAACAAGTGAAGCAAGAGCTAAATTTTCCCAGAGACTTAACCTATGGATAGAAACCCTTGATCAGTGCACAATCCACATAGGTACACACTGTGGCCATGTTGGTAGTAGTTGAAATGTTGAGAAGTGAATGAATTTAGAATATATTCTGAAAGTGGAGTGAAGGAATTGCTATTTGATTGGTGAAAATTTTGAGGAAGGAATTTCTGACTTAACTTAGTAGATAATTTACTAAAATTAAATAAAAACAACAGGAAAATGGGGGTAAAAGTTATATTTGGAAAAAATTATATGATATCTTTTAGAATTATAAGTGGAAATATCATGAAGTCATGTGGAATAACCAATTTAGTGTTTTGGAAAGATGGCTATCACAGTGATAGTATTTGAAGTTGCAGAATTAGATGAGAATATACAGAGATAGTGACTAAATTCTAGACAGTGAAAACAGGGTTCAGAACCAGGCTTAGAACATGTCAACCTTAGGGATTGAACAGGGAAGGAGAGAGCTATGTAAGGAGACTGAGAGGTGTAATGAGAGGAACACCAGGGGATTCAAAGGAAGAAAGTATTTCAAGAAGGAGATAGCTATGAGTTTGGTAACATATGGGTCATTGATAACCTTGAAAAGAATAGACTCAATAAAGATATATGCCTGAGAGCTCAACCTAGGTGGTGTGAAGAAAAAACATAGGTAAGAAAGTGGTGATATTGTCTATGAAAGACCTTTTCTGTAAGTTTTGTTGTTGAGGGCAACAGAGAGAAGATTGTAGCTGGGGTGGACGTTGAGTGAGATGTGGATGTCAAGTTTTAGTTTTTGTTTTTTGAAGAAGATGAAATGATTACTAGTAATTGAGGATCTGTATGCAGAGAAAGGGTCACGGGGGTGGAAATTTTGGTAGTAAAGTCCTTAAGAGGCCAAAAATGTGTCATGAAAGAGCTATAGGGGAAATGATGTTGTCATGGAATAGCCAGATTTCAGTTACAGGAAGAGAATGAAGGGAACATTTAGAGCAGAGTTAGAGTATATCAGTGCTTTGCTGTTGACAGAAGTTACTTTGCAAAGGACAGACTTGAAGAATTTGGGAGTTAAGAGATTAAAAGAGATTAATGAGCATACAGTATTGTGTGGGAATGCATGTTCACTTGATGATTGATGGCAGAGATGTTTTGGGCCTCTCCAAATGACTAAGGAGAATTGGAAAGTGAGGAATGACAAGATTAACCCTGAAAGGTATTGAGAGAAGGTGAGTAAACAGTTTAAGCCAGAAAATGCAAGACTGCCATGTATATTCATCTTCAGCAGCTCTTAAACTTTGGTGGTCAAAGGGTGATTGAAACTCCATCAGAAACTTTCTTCCTTAAGTGGGCTGAACGCTAAGTCTCAGAGTAATAGTATGGTGGGCTGGGCATGAAAAGGAGAAGCTAGAGATTGTGTCTTCTCTGCAGCAGCATGAACATGTGGCTACTAGGAAACAAAGGGAAGACTGTGAAAACATAATTTGTTAAGTCATTGAATAAATGAAGAGATGAATGAATGAAATAAGTAATTAATAACTAATATCCTTTGTGAACAAACAAGGTATTTCTCTAAGCTGGAAGGTCATAATGGGTTTCTTTCTATTTTTTAAAATTTCAGTGATAAATCTACTTTTTGCAGTGATAGAGTACAAAGCTATAGCTTTATAATGTACAAAGAAGTAGAATTTTCTACTGCTTTCAAAATTCATCTGATTGCCTATTTGTACAAAAACTATGAAATATTTCGCCCAAAAAGGAAGAAAATTAATTTTTTTCCATCCATACCCCTACTTACAACATCATTTCCAGTATTCACCTTCCTTTTCTACCTTATTGACATTATACAGATGCGATTTTTCAGTCAAAAATATTGAAATATAAATCAATTTTTTCTTTTCTTCAGACATCTTACTTTTATGCTGATAAAATTACAACAGATTATAATTTCACATTATTGAAAGCAGTTTAAAATATAATAGTCACTGTTAATTGTCTCCTCACTATTCATCTATCATAAATCAATTTCTGTATTAATTAGAAATGTTTTGTGAAAGAGACAGAAGTCTGGTTTCCATAGTTTAAAGAAATATAAGTATACTTTTTCACACAACAAGGATTCTCTTTGAATTGTGTTCCTGAAAATCAATTTCATAAATCAATTTTGTTGATATTTTCAAAACAATTTTTATTACAAATACCATTTATTCTAAATTTTGTTGTTTGCTTTCCATAGCTTCTGCTCACATAACACATTTAAGACAAAATGTTTATACCTGAAATAGTTCCTTAAGTAAAAATGTGGTTTCTTCATCTTTGTTTGAACAGTCTACCAATTTTGCACTGAAATTTTATGTATCATAAAAACAAATTACATCTTCTAAAAATAAAAATATTATCTATATATCTGAATTTTAAATTTTCCATCATAACAGGTGAAAATTATGATATTAATTAAAGCCAAATTTCAATGAAACAATTTTAATAATTTGTATAAATCATTAGAGTTTGAAAGTATATTATTTAAGCCTAAAAAGGATTAAAAAAAAACTTCCAGGTGTTTTAAAATATGAAATAGTCACTATGTCCTAGTATTTTCATGATATTAATTTTCCATTTCTCTGCTAATTTGGAAATGAGTTTCCCTCTTTAGCTATAATAAAGATTATTCAGAAAATCAGTACTTTACATTATTCAAAATAGAAGTAAAAGTCATCAAGGGATTAAAATAACTACACACTTTTACCAATAATATTTACTTCTAATAATTAACTGGCAGAAATAATTTGAGATAAATAATGATGTTGAGATACAAAAAAACATATATTAAAAAAATACAAAAAAATATATAAAAAGCTTTTGGCTTTTTATATAGCCAAAAGCATCATTATAAAATTAAACATGCAAAAATGAGAATTAAACAAATCAAGGCACATCTAAACAAAGTTTTATTTGTATTAAATGCATTACACCATGAAAAGTAATCCCATAAATGACTTAATGAAAGCCTTGCCATCTGGCCAAGATAAAGTAACAATGACCGGGTTTATCCTACTGAAGGATACAACTTAAAATCAGACAAGATATGTGAAAACACAGTTTTTGGCCATGGATTTTAGTCAGTGAAGAACAGTAATTTCTGAAAGAGGGAATGCAAAACAGGTAAATCTACAATTGTCCCAGCCTACTATCTAGAAAGAATTTTCAGCCCACAGGGCAAGGAGAGGTAATCCAGCAGAGCCTGGCAATCTCCCCGAGTTAAAAAGATAAGAGTTGAGACGGAGACCAAGGTAGCCAGAGGTGCATAAGCTGCATATGTAAAAAGAAAGAGACTCAAAGGGATAGAGCCCCATACATGTTCAGAGACTTCAGCTGAATACCAGTTGTACATATACGTAAGGAAAATCCCAAAGTCTGGGGAAAGAATTACATAAAAGGTTTGGAGGGAATATTTCTTGAAACACACATAGAGCTGAGAATGTATGTCTCCCCACTAGTCAAAGTAGAAAAGCCTTAAAATTCACAAGACATCAGGTAGAGTGCTAAAAAAGATAGTGTCTTAGTAATGGGACAAAATTAACTCTAGACAAATTGCTGCTCTGATTCTACCAAACAAAACTAATATTAAACAAGCCTCAGAAGAATCGAGCTATTTCCAACTAATTTAAGTTCATCCTAAAACAAAGCTAAAGAATGTTTATAGGAAATACATGTGTATGTGTTTATACACTCAACTAAGTAAAATTCACAATGAAAAATTATCAGATGTGCAAATAAACAGAAAAATGCAATCCATAATGTGGATAAAAATTAACCCAGGAATAAAACAAATGATAAGAATTAGTAATCATTAAGATTAAAACAGTTATATATATATGTATCTATACACAACTTATTCAAGAATGTAAATGAAATGTCAAGCATGGCAAGTAGCAAAATGACAGATAAAAAGAGATCCATTTAGAAAATTAGAATAAAACTACAGTGTTTGAGATGAAAATTGCGATGATATAGTTAACTGTGTTAGAAATTTTAGAAAAAATGATTAGTGAACTTCAAGACATGGAAATAGAAACTGTCTACGTTGAAACAGACACAAAATATACTGAGCTATGGGATGACTTCAAGCACCCTAATGTAAGTATAATTGGGGTTCATGAAGAAGAGGAGAGGATAGCTAAGTTCAATAAAGTCAAAAAAGGCATGATATATGCATAATGCTTAAAATTAGCTGGAGTATATAGAGTAGACTGTGTACAGAGGAACAAAGAGAAGAATAACAACAAACAATGCAAGAAGAAAAGACAGGAGTCAGTAGATAAACATTTTTAAAGTAGTAAAACAAATAAACAATAGAAACCCTAAAGGAACTACTGAAAATTAAAACAAAAGTTGTTTTATTATATATTATTAAAATAAACGAGTTATAGCTAATAAGAAAACAATGGAGATAAAATGGATGGTGAAAATTCTCAATCCAAAAGAAAGCAGATAAAGTGGAAAAAGTAACAAAGTACAAATGGGGCAAATGTAAAACAAAATTTAAAACTATAGATATAAAGCTACCCTTTTCAGCAATCACTTTAAAAACAAATGATTTAAATACCTCAAAATACAGATAATGGATTAAAACAGCAACATTCAAATGTATGTTAGTATAACAAACCTGCTTCAACTATAAAGATACAGATAGGTTAAAAGTAAAGTAAAATGATTGACAATATATATAAAAGGTTATATATTTTTGTATACTAGTGATATTATTAGCTAATGTTATTCTAACATATATATATAATGCTAATGATATCACTAATCCTAAGAAAGTGGATGTGTCTATATTGTTATCAGACAATATACTATTCAGCCCTAAAAGGGAACAAGATAAGTTACTGCAACTTGGATGGAGTTGGAGGTAATTATCCTAAGTTAAGTAACTCAGCAATGGAAAACCAAGTATCATATGTTATTACTTATAAGTGGGAGCTTAATTAAGAATGATATAATGGACTTTTGGGAACTCATATAGCAGTGCTTCTGATTTGTGTACATTGATTTTGTATCCTGAATTGTTACTGAATTCATTTATAAGATTTAGGAGCTTTTTGGATGAGTCTTTAGGATTTTCTAGGTATATGATCATATCGTCAGCGAACAGAGACAGTTTGATTTCCTCTTTTCCAATTTAGATGCCCTGTATTTCTTTCTCCTGTCTGATTGCTCTGGCTAGGACTTTAAGTATTGTTGAGTATAAGTGGTGAAAGTGAGGATTCTTGTCTTGTTCTAGTTCTCAGGGTGAATGCTTTCAACTTTTCCTTATCCAGTATGATGTTGGCTGTGGGTTTGTCATACATGGTTTTTATTACTTTGAGGTATGACCCTTCTATGCCAATTTTGTTGAGGTTTTTTTTATCGTAAAGGGATGCTAGATTTTGTCAAATGCTTTTTCAGTGTCTATTGAGATGATCACATAATTTTTGTTTTTCATTCTGTTCATGTGATATGTCACATTTATTAACTTGTGTGTGTCAAATCTTTCCTGCATCCCTGGTATGAAACCCACTTGATCATGATGTATTATCTTTTTGATACACTGTTGGATTTGGTTAGCTAGTATTTTGTTGAAGATTTTTGCATCTATGTTCATTAGGGATCTGTAGTTTTTTGTTTGTTTGTTTGTTATGCCCTTTCCTGGTTTGGGTATTAGCATGTTACTGGCTTCATAGAATGATTTAGGGAGGATTCCCTCATTCTCTATCTTTTGAAATAGTTTCCACAGGATTTATATCAATTCTTGTTTGAATGTCTGATAGAATTCATCTGTGAATCCATCTTGTTATGGACTTTTTTTGTTGTTGACAATTTTTTAAAATTGTGATTCAATCTCACTGTTTGTTGTTGGTCTGTTTAGGGTTTCTATTTCTTCCTGATTTAATCTAGGAGGTTGTATATTTTCTGGAATTTATCCATCTCCACTAGATTTTCTAGTTTGTGCATATAAAGGTGTTCATGGTAGCCTACAATGATCCTTTGTATTTCTGAGGTATCAGTTGTAATATCTCCCATTTCATTTGTAAATGAGCTTATTTAGATATTCTCTCTTCTTTTCTTGATGAATCTCACTAATGATTGATCAATTTTGTTTATCTTTTCAAAGAACCAGGTTTTTATCATTTACCTTTTGTGTTTTTTTAATTCAATTTCATTTAGTTCTTCTCTGATTTTATAATTTATTTTCCTCTGCTGGGTTTGGGTTAAGTTTGTTCTTGTTCTCTAGTTTTTGGAGGTGTGACATTAGGTTGTATATTTGTGATCTTTCAGACTGTTTGATGTAGGGATTTAATGCTGTGAAATTTCCTCTTAGTACCACCTTTGCTGTATCCCAGAGGTCTTGATAAGTTGTGTCACTATTATCATTGAGTTCAAATAATTTTTTAAATTGTCTTCTTGATTTCATTGTTAACCAAAAGATCATTCAAGAGTAGATTATTTAATTTTCATGCATTTGTAAAGTTTTGAGAGTTTTTTGTAGTTAATTTCCAGTTGTATTCCACCGTGGTCTGAGAAGACAATATGATTTTGATGTTCTTAAATTTACTAGGAATTGTCTTGTGGCCTGTCATATGGTCTATCTTGGAGAATGTTTCATGTGCTGATGAGAAAAATGTATATTCTGCAGTTGTTGAGTAAAATGTTTTGTAAATATTTGTTAAGTCCATTTGTTTTAGGGTATAGTTTAAGCCCAGTGTTTCTTTGCTGACTCTCTGTCTTCATGACTTGTCTAGTGCTGTCAGTGAATTATTGAAGTCCCCCACTATTATTGTGTTCCTATCTCATTTCTTAGGTCTAGTAGTAATTGTTTTATAAATTTGGAAGCCCAGTGTTAGGAAAATATATATTTAGTATAGCAATATCTTCCTTTTGGCCTGATCTTTTTATCATTATATAAAGGATATATTCTTCTTTGACTTTTTTTACTGTTATTGTTTTAAAGTTTGTTTTGTCTGACCTAAAAATAGTTATTCCTGCTCACTTTGGTTTTCATTTGTGTGGAATATCTTTTTTTACTCTTTTATCATAAGTTTATATGAGTCCTCTTGTGTTAGTTGAGTCGCTTGAAGACAGCAGATACTTGATTGGTGGGTTTTTACCCATTCTACCATTCTGTATCTTTTAGGTGGAGCCTTTAGGTCATTTTACATTCAACATTAGTATTGAGATGTGGGGTATTCTTCTGTATTAGTCCATTTTCACACTGCTAACACATTCCTGAGACTAGGCCATTTACAAAAGAAAGAGGTTTATTGGACTCACAAACATGGCAGAAAGCAAGGAGGAGCAAGTCACATCTTACTTGGATGGCAGCAGGCAAAGAGAGAGCTTATGCAGAGAAATTCCTGTTTTTAAAATCATTGGTTCTCACTAGACCCATTCACTATCACGAGAGCAACTTGAGGAAGACCTGACCCCATGATTCAATCATCTTCCACTGGGTGCCTCCCAAAACATGTGGGAATTATGGGAGCTACAAGATGAGATTTGTGTGGGGACAGAGAGCCAAAGCTCATCATTCCACCCCGGCCCCTCCCAAATCTCATATCCTCATATTTCAAAACCAGTCACGCCTTGCCAACAGTCCCCCAATGTCTCAACTCATTTCAGCATTAACTCAAAAGTCCACAGTTCAAAGTTTCAGCCAAGAAAAGGGAAGCCCCTACTTTGTATGAGCCTATAAAATCCAAAGGAAGTTAGTTACTTCCTAGGTACAATGGGGGTACAGGCGTTGGGTAAATGCAGCCATTCCAAATGGGAGAAACTGGCCAAAACAATGGGGCTACAGTCCCCATGCAAGTCCAAAATCTACTGGGACAATCAAATCTTAAAGCTCCAAAATGACCTCCTTTGACTCCGTGTCTCACATCCAGGTCATGCTGATGATGCAGAAGATGGGTTCCCATGATCTGAGGTAGCTCTGCCCCTGTGGCTTTGCAGGGTACAGCTTCCTTCCTGGCTGCCTTCATGGCTGGCATTGAGTATCTGTGGCTTTTCCAGGTGCATAGTGCAAGCTGTCAGTGGATCTATCATACTGGGGTCTGGAGGATGGTGGCCTCCTCTCACAGGTACACTAGGCATGGGCCCAGTAGGAACTCTTTGTGGGAGCTCCGACCCCAAATTTCTCTTCTGCCCTGCCCCAGCAGAGGTTCTCCATGAGGCTTCTGCCCCTACAGCAACCTTCTTCCTGGGCATCTAGGTATTTCCATACATCTTCTGAAATCTAGGTGAAGGTTCCCAAACCTCAATTCTTGACATCTGTGCACCTGCAGGCTCAACACCATGTAGAAGCTGACAATGCTTTAGGCTTGCACCCTCTAAAGCCACAGCCCAACTTCTACGCTGGCCCCTTTCAGCCATGGCTAGAGCGGCTGGGACACAGGACATCAAGGTTTTAGGCTGCACACAGCACAAGGAACCTGGGGCAGTCTCACTAAACCACTTTTTCCCCCTTGGCCTTTGGGCCTGTGATGGGAGGCCTTCTGCAAGTTCTCTGACATGGCCTGGAGACATTTTCCCCATTGCCTTGGTGATTAACATTTGACTCCTCATTACTTATGCAAATTTCTGTCACCAGATTGAATTTCTTCTCAGAAAATGGGATTTTCTTTTGTATTGCATTGTCAGGCTGCAAATTTTCCAAACTTTTATGCTCTGTTTTCCTTTGAAACCAAATGCCTTTAACGGCACCCAAGTCACATCTTGAATTCTTTGCTGCTTAGAAATTTCTTCCACTAGATACCCTAAATCATCCTCTCTCAAGTCTGAAGTTTCACAAATCTCTAGGGCAGAGGCAAAATGCCACCATTCTCTTTGCTAAAACATAACAAGAGTCACCTTTGCTCCAATTCCCAACAAGTTCTTCATCTCCGTCTGAGACCACTTCAGCCTGGACCTTATTGTTTATATCACTATCAGCATTTTTTGTCAAAGATATTCAACAAGTCTCTAAGAATGGCCAAACTTTCCCACATTTTTCCTGCCTTTTTTTGAGCCCTCCAAGCTGTTCCAACCTCTGCCTGTTACCCAGTTCCAAAGTAACTTCCACATTTTTGGGTATCTTTTTGGCAGCACTCCACTCTACTGGTACCAATTTACCATATTAGACTGTTTTCACACTGCTGATAAAGGCATACCCAAGACTGGGCAATTTACAAAATAAAGAGGTTTATTGGACTTACAGATCCACATGGCTGGGGAGATCTCACAATTATGGTGAAAGACTAGGAGGAGCACATCACATCTTACTTGGATGGCAGCAGGGAAAGAGAGAATGTATGCCAAGAAACTTTCATTTTTAAAACCACCAGATCTCATGAGACCCCTTCACTATCATGAGAACACCATGGGAAAGATCTGCCACCATGATTCAATCATCTCTCACTGGGTCCCTCCCACAACATGTGGGAATTATGGGAGTGACAAGATGAGATTTGGGTGAGAACCCAGAGCCAAACCATATCATCTTCTATTTATCATATTAGTTACAGCTTAAATACTTTGGTTTTTATTTCATTGTGTTATTCTTTTATAGGCTCCGTGAGATTTATGCATTAAGGAAATTCTATTTTGGTATATTTCAAGATTTTGTTTCACAATTTAGGGCTCCTTTTATCATTTCTTGTAGTGCTGATTTTGTACTGACAAATTTCCTCAGCATTTGTTTGTCTGAAAAAGACTATCTCTCCTTGATTTATGAAGCTTAGTTTTGCTGAATACAAAATTATTGCCTGACAATTATTTTGTTCAGGAATCTGCTGTTAATCTAATAGGTTTTCCTTTATAGCTTACCTGATGCTTTTGTGTCACAGCTCTTAAGATTATTTCCTTTATCTTGACTTTGGATAATCTAATGACTATGTGCCTTGGTGATAATCTTATTGCAATCAGTTTCCCAGGAATTCTTTGAGCTTCTTGTATCTGGATGTCTAGATCTCTAAGAAGGCCAGGACATTTTTCCTCAAGTATTCTTTCAAATAAGTTTTCCAAACTTTTAGATTTCTTTTCTTCCTCAGGAACACCTATTATTCTTAAGTTAGGCCATTTAGCATAATCACTAATTTCTTAGGGGCTTTGTTCATTTTTTTAAATTCTCCTTTCTTTGTCTTTTTCTGATTGGGTTAATTTGAAAGCCTTATCTTCGAGCTCTGAAGTTCTTTGTTCTACATGTTCTAGTCTATTGTTGAAACTTTCCACTACATTTTGTATTCTCTAAATAAGTTCTTTATTCCCAGAAGTTGTGATTGCTTTTTCTTTATGATATCTGTTTCTCTCAAAAATTTTTCATTCATATCGTTTGTGTTTTTTAAACTTTTTAAATTGGTTTTCACCTTTCTCTGGCATCTCCTTGAGTAGCTCAATAATCAACCTTCTGTGTATTTTCTCTGGCAATTCAGAAGTTTCTTCTTGGTTTGGATCCATTGCTGGAGAGCTAATGTGATCCTTAGGGGCTGCTGTGGAAACATTTTTTGTCATAAGACCAGAATTACTTTTCTGGTTCTTTCTCATGTGCATAGATGATTTTTTCAAATTACTCTTGAATTTATTTTTGATTAGACTGTGTTTTTGTTTTCGTTTTGTTTAGAATTTCTTATTTTTCCCTCTTGAGGGTTGGGCTTCAATGTTTGTTTTAGTCTAATCTTTCTTTTTCTTTCTTTCTTTCTTTTTTTTTTTTTTTTTGAAGACAGAGTCTGGCTCTGTCACCCTGGCTGGAGTGCAGTGGTGCGATCTTGGCTCACTGCAACCTCTGCCTCTTGGGTTCAAGTAATTCTCCTGCCCCAGCCTCCTAAGTATCTGGAATTATAGGCACCCGCCACCAGGCCTGACTAATTTGTGTATTCTTAGTAGAGATGGGGTTTCACCATGTTGGCCAAGCTGGTCTCAAGCTCCTGACCTCAAGTGATCCACCCGCTTCAGCCTCCCAAAGTGCTGGGATTACATGCATGAGCCACTGCACCTGGCTCTAATTTGATTATTGATGCCTGTATGGGTGAAGATTCTGTACAAATTTTTTAGTTATAGAGAGTCTTTGAATCCTGGCTTTCTCTAATAATGGTTGTAATAGTAATATTCTTGGTGTGTGGGTGAGTTTACTGACTTTTATGTAATTGGAATAGCAGAAATCTCTTGGAACTTGTTCTCTCATGGTGTACACTTTACTTATTTAGTTAGTTTTTTCTCAGTTTTTTTTTATTTTTTAAAACATTTTCTGAATTGATAATTCAGGATTCAGGCCAATGAGGGGTAAGCACCAGTTGTGGCTAAGGCAGGTGATATATGTGATACTCGATGGTGGGGCAAAGTCCCAGCCTTGATGAGGGTGGCTGGGATCTCTCTCAATTAGATGTGCTGAGGGTTTAGCAGGATGAATACTGGGAGTGATCTCAGCTTCCTGTCCTGGAAGAAACTTTTCAATAATTATTTCACAGTAACTGATAGAAGTAGTGGGCAATATCAGTGAGGATTTAGAAGACTAGAAAAACACTATCAATAAACATGACCTAATTAGGTAGAGTTATGGAACACTTCACCCAACAGCAGCATAAAAAACATGCAAATGCATAAAAACATTTACTATGATACATCATATTACAGGTAATATAACAAGTCTCAATATAGTTAATTTAAATTATACCAGGTATGCTATTGAATAACAATTTACACTACAAATCAAGAACAGAAAATATCTAGAAATTATCCAAATATTTAAATATTAAATAGCAGACTTTTAAATAATCTATGGTTTGTAGAAGAAACCAAAAGGAAATCAGTATTTTAAACTGAATGAAAACAACACAGCATATAAAAATTTGTCAGATGCCTTTAAGGTAGTGAGTAGAGGATGATTTCTATCAATAAATATAAATATGCTAAAAAGAAGAAAGGTCTCAAATCAACAAGTTTAGCATCCACTTTAAGGATTTAGAAAAAGAAGATAAAAAATTAAGTCTAAACAAAGCAGAAAAAATTAAATGATAAAAACAAACGATAAAGATAAACACAAAAGTCATTGAAATATAACCCAGAAAAAAGAATATTAAAGTCACTACATCCCAAGCTTGTTTTTTTTGTGTGTGGGTTTTTGTGTGTGTGACTGTGAAGATCATTAAAGGTGAAAATATTCTAGCAAGGCTGATGAAAACAAAAGGAACACCATGAATCAATATTTGGAAAAAGAGAGGTGACATAATTAAATATCTTACAGATATAAAAATGATAATTCATAAATATTATGAGTCAATAATACTAATATCTTTGATGACTTAGAGAGAAAAGGCAAATTTCTTGAAATACCAAAGTATCAGAGACCACTCAAGCTCAATTCACTTCCCCCGTCTTCTTCAAATCCCTCTAAATTAAAAAAAAAATAGTTAAAAAAGATCACTTAAGAAGAAATAGATAATGTGAAATTTTCTACATCATTTAAAAAAGAACTTTTAGCTAAAAACATTACTGCACTATAAGAAAACTCCAGGCTTGATGGTTTCATGGTATGTTACACTAAACAGTGAATGAATATTTTCTACATAAACTCTTGGAGATAATATAAAAGAAGAAAATTCTTCCCAATCCATTCTGAGACCAGCATTACCCAGTGCCACAAACAGCTAGACACAATATAAGAACGCTACAGACATATACTTTTCATATGCACAGATGCAAATATTCTTAACAAAATTTTAGCAAATGAATCTACCCTTTAGTGTTCATGAATTCTGTTTTAACATCTTAAAGTAGATCAATATAATTCGTCATCAACAGGCTAAATAATGATAATCATATGATCATATTCATAGGCACAGAAAAAACATTTGAGAAATGCAAAATCCACTCATCAAAACTTGTAGCAAACCAGAAATAGAAAACTGTCTCAACTTAATGAAGGTCATTAATGAAAAACCTGCAGCAAGCCTTATACTTTGCAGTTATAGACTGAATATTTTCTCCACAACATTAAAAACAAAGCAAAGACATCTGTTATTACTTTTATTCAAAATTGTTCTGTAAGTTCCAGTTGGTTGAGTAAGAAAAGAAAAAGAAATAAAAGGCATCAAGATAGGAAAGGAATACATAAAACTGTCTTTATTCAAATAAGATATAATTATATAGCAAATTTGCAGTGTATATAAAGGAGCTACTAGAACTAGTAAGTGTGTTTAGCAAAGTTTATAGGACATAGTCAATATTTAAAAAGTTATGATTCTGTGTACTAGCAACAATTATAAATTGAAATTACAAATATATTACCCTTTACACTAGCAATAGAATATAAAATACTTAGTAATAAATTTAACCACAGAGTATAAGACCTCTACTTTGAAAATGGCAAACATTGCTAAGAGAAATTAAATAAGACTTGAATGAATGGAGATCTGTACAGTGATTGTGTATCATGTAACTATCGCTAAATGTCAGTGTCCGTTCTCCCAATGTAGGTATATAGGTTCAATGCAATGCCAATGAAAATCCAAACAGGCTTTTTTTTTTTTTTTTGGAGATTAACAAGTTGGTTCCAAAATTCATGTGGAATAGTAAAGGAACTTAAATAGCCTCATATCTTTGTAAGAGAAAAACAGAGTTGGAGGATTTATACTTTCTGATTTCAAGACTTAACACAAAGCTACAATAATCAAGATATGTTTGTGTTGGTATCCAGATAGATACAGTAAAGAAATCGATAGAAAAGAATAGAGTTCAGAAATAGACTCACGTAAATACAGCTAGTTAATCTTCTGCCAAAATACAATAACAAAGCAATGAATAAAGGCTAGTCTTTTCTACAAATGGTGCTGAAATAATTTGATATCTATGTGCAAAGATAAAAGAAAGTTTATTCATATCTCGAAGCATATGTAAAAATTAATTTCAAATCAATCATAGACCTAACTGTAAGACCCAGTACTATAAATTTTTTAATGGAAAATATTGGAGAAAATCTTTGTGATTTGGGGTTAGGCCAATATTTTTTAGATGCCACATTGAAAGCAGAATAGCTGCAAAAATTGGTAAATTGGGCTTCATTTAAGAATTAAGAATTTTTCCCCTCAAAACACATGCTTGGGGATACAGAAAGGTTGGTCAATGAGTAAAAACTAACAGGAAAAAATAATTTTGATGTTCTATTGCTTAATTGGGTGATTATAGTTAAAAATAGTAAGTTGTATTTTATTTATTTATTTATTTTTTTCGAGACAGAATCTCACTCTGTCACCCAGGCTGGAGTGCAGTGGCACAATCTTGGCTCACTGCATCCTCTGCCTCCACGGTTCAAGAGATTCTCTTGCTTCAGCCCACTGAGTAGCTCGGATTACAGGCATGCGCCACCATGCCTGGCTAATTTTTGTATTTTTAGTATGGACAGGGGTTTCACCATGTTGACCAGGCTGGTCTTGAACAGGTGAAATTAACATAAGACAGCCTTACCATGAAAAATGAGAAGTTTAGAAGAAGAGAACTATAATGAATGTTCATAATAGTGGGGTTGAATTACAATAAAATCTTTAAGCCTATCAATATGAATTTGTTAATAATAGTTACAAGTAAATCGTTTGGCTATGAGAAAAAATAAGCAATAAAATATCTGCAAGAGTCATTTCCAGCAAAAGGTTCCAGAGGACTTTTGATTAAAAGGAAGACCTTCTCAAATATCACTGTACCAGTTTAGAAAAGTAGCAGATTGGCCTTTGCCCTCAAATGTATGTTACATAATATTCATTTTAAACTCACATTTGTTTTCTTTAGGAAAATAATACCCTTGAAATTAAGAAACGTTAGCTAAGATACATTTCATTATGCATTTTTATTTATTTTAAGAAAATTTGTTCAGTTTAAGAGAGTTGAAAAATTGTGTTTGGTGATTGATCATTACCATCAAAGTACTTAGTGATCTTTTGCAGAGAATTCCAACAGAAAAATCTATTCTCAAAGTACTTGGTAAGTACTAAAAAAAAAAAAATATATATATATATATATATAACTATAATAAAAGAACATTTGAGGCTGAGTCATATTTAATGAAAAATTAATAGAAGAGTAGATAGAATTTGTACATGACCACACAATTTGTAGAAGTTCCTCAAAGTAATAACACTTCATATTCTTCAGTGTATTCACAGCCCAGTCATGGTGCCTCCTTAATGGTGAGTTCACTAAAGAAGATATAATAAGCAAATTATAAAAATCTTGTCTTGATTTTCATTTTCGTTTCCTCAGTGATAGTAGTAGTGTTTTTACCTGAGTTCATCATAACCCTAAAGGAGTAAAATCACCCAAGTAAATTCAAAAAGATAAAAGTCTCTTCTGATACAATTTATAGAACAAAGGGTAAATGACTGACAGAGCAGGTGCAGTCTGTAGGTCAGAAAAGCTTTATAGGCAAAAAGCCACAACAGGAATAAGAAAAAATAAAACATATTGTGTATTATTCTGATGGCTTTGCTAATCCAAGGCTCAACATTCTCTTCTCAAAGGCATATAAAAGGAGTAACTTATTCTGAGTAAGAATGCACAAAATAGCATGATTGATTGAAAGCTGTCTGCACATTCTTTCTAAATAAGTAACTCAAAGGAATAAAGGCTTTACTCCCACTTTCATCTCATCACTATCAAAACCTTCCCTTCTAAGAATGAAGTTCTCTTGAAAAGTCTATCCAAGGCAGATGATGAGATTATGACTTAAAATCACATGCAAATTTTTGAGAGAATATTTGTCTAAACTACCAGAAAAAAATAGCCAAAAAAAACACCTTCAGATGAAGACCAGAGGATTCAAAATAGCAGATTTGTAAGACAAACAAGTCTAGAGTTCTAAGGCACAACATGGGGGCTGTAGGTAATAAAAGTGCACTGCATATGGGATTCATGCTAAATGAGTAGATTTTAGTGGCTCTTGCTACAAGAATAAAATAAATGGTTAAATATGTTGGAGATGATTGATGTGGTTTGGCTGTGTCCCAATCCAAATCTCATCTTAAATTGTGCTCCCATAATTCCCATGTGTTGTGGGAAGCTATGGGTGGGAGGTAATTGAATCATGAGGGTGGGTCTTTCCCATGCTGTTCTCCTGAGTGAATAAGTCTCATGAGATCTAATGGTTTTATACAAGGTGAGTTCCCCTACACAAGTTCTCTCTTGCCTGTCGCCATGTAAGATGTGTTCTTTGCCTTCTGCCGTAATTGTGAGGCCTCTCCAGCCATGTGGAACTCTGAGTCCATTAGACTTTTTTTCTTTATAAATTGCCCAGTCTCAAGTGTGTCTTTATTAGCAGCATGATAACAGATTAATACAATGATTGGTATATTAATTTGCTTCACTATAGTAACCTTTTAAATATCTATATGTAACCTATAGCAACGTGTTGTATATCTTAAATAAACCCAACAAAATACAATAAGAAATAAAATCAACAAAACAGATGCTTTATTAAACACTTTGGAATATAAATTGTCTGTTATTTAAAACATAAAAATGGGAACATCCCTTTTTCAAATGTCATGGTCACTGTATTTGTTACAAAGAGGTGATCTCTCCATGAAAAAGACTGTTTTTCAGAATCAACTTACAATTATGCTACTGAATACAGAAAAATGCAAATAGGTACTATTAAGAAAAATGGGATCAAATATTTTCTCTTACTGTCAGGATGGAAATTTATTAAGAGCTTTTAGTCTTTTCCAGGGGCTATTTTTTTTCTTAAAAATAGATAATAAATGCATATTCCTGAAAAAAATTTTAAAAATTTTCTATGAGGCTTTTAGGCTTACATAAAAATCCAATGTGCATTGCCAATGGTAGGGGAAGCACATTCTTCATCAACATCATGATCTGGCTGGCCTGAGTGAATCTGTGTAAGTAGCCAACTCTCCAGTTGAGCTTTACCAGAAAATGTTAAACCTATTTTTTATCACCTATATTATGCTCATTTTAACATTAAAATGATTTCTCTTTAAGGTTCTTCTTAGTCAATGGCCAAGAAAGATCATATCTGACAAACTCTCTTTCAGGTGACTAGTATAAGTCTTTTACAAAATATCAAAAACAGTGGAAAGCAACCAAAAGCTAACAGAAAGGGGACTAGATAGCTGGAACAGAGAATGCACTAGGTAATTTTATTCTTTATGTATGTATGTTCACATGTATGTATGTATACGTGTATGTGGCCTTTAAAGAGAAGCCCCCTTTGTGCCATTCAGGACTCCATAAACTCTAAGAGGAAACTTTAGACTTTCCAACTTAAAAACCTAGATGCTGTAGTTTGAGGCAGTTCCAGCACTGGAAAACAAGGGAGAGATCCTAGAAATAGAAGAGAGGGAGAGTCTCAATTCTCAGTTTAAGCTCTGCCACTTCTGTTCTGCCTCCCGGACTACACATTGATGAAACATTCTGAACAGCTCAGTCAAAGCTGAAAGAACTGAAATGAGATTTGACTGTATGCCCAAGAGACAGAACTGTAGTTCGAATCCAACCAGGTTAAATGTCTCATGAAACAGCAATCCACTTTGGAAGGGTACAATGAGATGCATAACAAGGTCTGTGATGCAATCCAAGCTATTTGACATATGAAGAAATAGGAAAATATGATGTATTGTCAAAGAAAAATATAATAAACCTAAACATGTCTTAATGTGAACCAAATATTAAAGCAAGAAGATAAAGGGCATGAAAGAAAAAAGCTTATAATAAATGTATGCATAGGAAATCTCAGTAGAGAAACAGAATTCATAAGAAATAACTAAATGGAAATTCTAGAACTGAAAAATAAAATATTTTAAAAATAACTCACTAGGTGTGCTTAACAGAACAATGGAAATTACAAAAGAACAAGTTAGGAAACTTGAATATGAGCAAACAGAATTTAGTCAATCCAGAAAATAGTGGGAAACAAAAAAGACAATTAAAAATTTTGACAAAACCTCAAAACCTGTGAGATAATATCAAAAAGCATTACCCCATAAAAGTAGAAAACAAAGAATTGTATTAAAATTTTAAAATGTTTAAAGAAATAATTGCTTAAAATTTTTAAAATATGGTAATGTACATATGTTTATATACATAAGTTCAGTGAAACCCAAGTAATGAGCCTTTAAGATCCTAACAGTAAGTGATTAAAATATAAGAATTTTTTTAAGCCATCAGACAAAAGAACACATAGCTACATAAAAATGTGAATGATTACTAACCTCACCATAAACAATGGGTGCCAAAAGACAATGAAAACAAATCTTTTTTTTTTTTTTTTGGACAGAGTCTTGCTCTGTTGCCCAGGCTGAAGTGCAGTGGTGCGACCTTGGCTCCCTTACAGCCTCTGCCTCCCGGGTTCCAGCAATGCTCCTGCCTCCGCCTCCCAAGTAGCTGGATTACAGGCACGTGCAACCACACCTGGCTAGTTTTTGTATTTTTAGTAGAAATGGGGTTTCACCATGTTGCCCAGGCTGTTCTCAAACTCCTGACCTCAGGTGATCCACCCGCCTTGGCCTCCTAAAGTGCTAGGATTACAGGCGTGAGCCACCTCATAAAGTGCTAAGGAAAAAAATATTATCACCCCAAGATACTACTATATCCAGGAAAAATATAATTCCAAAATGAAGGAGAATCAAATAGATTTTCAGGTTTAAAAAGATCAAAGATAATTCCTTAGCATTTAATATTCAATGCCAGCAGACCTGTCCCACAAGAAATTCTGAAGATTTATTCAGAGTAGAAGAAACAATGCAGGATGGACCCTTGTATATTCAGGAATAAATAAAAAGCCCTGAAAATGGTAATTTGTTTAAAATACATACTAAGATCTTTTATCTATAATTCATGGATTTTAATTAGTGAATTTTACACTATATACAATACAATATATGGATTATTATTTACAAAACATTGTCATTTGGTATTCATAAATATGCGATGTGTACATTTAGAAACTCTAACATAAAGGAGTGTGGTCAATGGACCTCTATGATTGCAAGTGGTATAACATTACCTAGAAGCAAACACTTGAGGCATTAAGAATGCATATTGTAATCTTAAAATGAACACTAAAAAGCAATGCAGAAAGGTTTACTAAAAAACCACTTGATACGTTAATATGGAATTCTAAAAAATCCCAAAATAATTCAAAATAAGTCAGGAAAGGAGAGAAACAAACAAAAGTAACAACTGGAGAAAGTTAACAAGTTTTGCAATGTTTATTTTAAATGCAAACCATAATTACACTAAATATTAGTAGGGTAAACACGCATATTCAAAATCAGAGTTTGTCAGAATATATATAATAGCAAGATGTTCACTGTAGTAGCCTTTCAACATGTTTAAATGGTTACTTTTTAATAATAATATGTGGGAAAATATTTTTTCTTACCCACCATCTCATATGACAGATGCTTTAGAATCCTTTTCCATGATACCCTATAGTTTTCATTTCCTTCTGTCCACAGCATATCTCTGCTTCCTGAAGATCTGCAACCCAGTTTCAGAAGGGCAAACTGTTTTATATTAATTTTAGTGGGGTAAGAAACATGACTTAAATTTTCATCTAGCCAACATGAAAATGTCAATTAATTTTTAAGCTTGAGTTACAGCCTCCCATAAGAGGAAAACCCTGAGTATAAGATTCTGTTTTATAGACAAATATGTTGAAAAAAACTGGCATTGTATTTTTGATTTGATTCATAGAGAAATCTAATAACTAGGTTGATACACAGTAATGAAAACTCAGTTCCAGGTGATTACTCTTTAATGGAGATATTCATAGACAATAATGATTAGTATTAGAGAAGTCTTGGTATTCCATACAAATATATTAATTTTAGAAAATATATGTTAATATATTTCCCATTATGACTTAATGATCATCTTTCTCTTCAAAGATCTAATATACTTGAAATAGTCATGTTCTTTTATTTCTACTGTAAATTTCTTCTAGCTGCCAGATGACCAGAATCCCAGCAGTTCAGTCCAAACAGTCATTCTGACTGTCTCACAGTATGTAAACTGTTATGATTCTGGGCAGACCTGCCCACTCTGTGCAAGAATATTTAATGTTTTGAACAATAAAACTACCCTTTTAAAGGACTGCACTCACATAAAAGACACACAAATGGCCAATAAACATATGAAAAAATGATAACATTACTAAATATTGGGGAAATGCAAATTAAAACCGCAATGGGATGTCATCTTTCACCAGTTCACATGGCTATCACTGAGAAGTCAAATAATAACAGATATTGACAAAGATGCAGAGAAAAAGGAGCTCCTACAAGCTCTTGGTGGGAATTTAAATTAGTAAAAACTCTATGAGAAATAGTATGGAGATTTCCCAAATAGCCAAAAATAGAACTACCATTTGATCCAGCAATCCTGCTACTTACTGGGTATGTTCCCAAAGAAACAAAATTATATAAAAAAGATACTTGCACTCAGATGTTTATCACAGCACTATTCACAACAGCAAATGTTATGAAATCAACCTTTGTGTCTATCAATGAATAACTGGATACAGAAAATATGGTAGCTCTACAGCCTTAGCCTTTGGTGCCTTTAAGCTCCAGGGAATCCAAGGTGACCATGGACTGGAGCAGTCCTCTGGCACAATGCAGCAGCACTATGAAAAGGTGGCCAGACTGCATTTTCACCTGGGTCCCAGATCCCATTTTTCTTCACTGAGTGGAATCTCCTGACTGAGGTCTACACGACACCTACCAGCCTATTCCAGCTGGCAGCAGTTGCAAACATCCCTGGGATGTAGTTCCCAGAGGGAGAGGCAGGCTGTTATCATTGCTGTTTTGCAGCCTTAGCCATTGTCACCTTTGGATTTTGGAGAGTCCAAGTTGACTGAGTGCTGGAATGGACCTCCAACACAGCACATCTGCTCTACAAAGAAGTGGCCAGACTGCTTTTTTAAACAGGTCCCTGATCCCCTTCCTCCTTACTGAGTGGGACTTCCCAACCTAAGTCCCCAGCTACCAACTTGGAGCTCCCTGGGATGGAGTTCCCAGAGGGAGGGGCAGACCATACTTTTGCTGTCTTTCAGCCTTCACTATTGACACCTGCAGGCACTGGAAAATCCAAGGTGACTAGGAACTGGAGTGGACCCCCAGGTTACTGCAGCAGCCCTAGTGAAAAGTGGCCAGACTGTTACGTGGGTCTCATATCTCCTCACTGAGTGGATATTCCCAGCCCAGGTCTCCAGCCACCTTTTTCTGGGACTATGGAGCCAGTAGGAGCTCTGAAACTTCCAGAGCTTCCAGTGGAAGGGGTGTATTGCCATCTTTTCTGTCTTCCAGCTCTCATCCTTGCTCTCTCCATGCTCTGGAGAGTCTGCTGGACCAAATGCTCTTTTGGACCTCCAGCATACAGCATGAAACTCAGAGAAAAGTGGCTGGATTATTCTCCACCCAGGTCTCCATCATCACTTCTCCTTACTGGGTGGGGGTCCCTGACCTGGGACTCCAACACAACCACTCTGCTTCTGCCCACTTTAATTAGAGGCAGCCAAGCAGTTAAAGGAACACCCACACACAGAGATGAGAAAAAAACAACACAGAAACTGCAGCAACTCAAATGGCCAGAATGTCTTACATCCTCCACACAACTGCACTAGCTCTTCAATAAAGGCTCTTAACGAGACTTTGTTTGCTGAAATCACTGAAATAGAATTCAGAATATGGATAGAAATGAAGATCACTGAGATTTAGGAGAATGGCAAAACCTGATCCAAGGAAACTAAGAATCACAATAAAATGACACACAAACTGACAGACAAAATAGCCAGTATTAAAACAAAACAAAACAAAACAAAAACCTAACTGATCTGATACAGCTGAAAGACACTTCTGAGAAAAGAATCTCAGAAGTGAAAAACTGGCTTTCTGAAATAAGACAGAGACTGGCATTCTGAAATAAGACAGTCAGACAAAAAAATAAATAAATAAAAGTAAAAACAAGAAAAAAGAATGAACAAAATCTCCAAGAAATGTGATTATGTAAATAAGCCAAATCTATAAATCACTGGCATCCCTGAAAGGGATGAGGAGAAAGTAAACAACTTGGGATGCATATTTTAGGGTATCATCCATGGAAACATTCCTAACCTTGCTACAGAGGCCAACAGTCAAATTCAGGAAATACAGAGAACTCCTATAGGAGTCAACAAAAGACTATCCACAAGACATACAATCATCAGATTTTCCAAGGTTGAAATAAAAGAAAGCATGTTAAAGACAAGACAGCTAGAGAGAAAGGGAAGGTCACTAAAAAGAAAGCCCATCAGGCTAACAGTGGACATCTCAGCAGAAACCCTACAAGCCAGAAGAGATTGGTGGCCTATATTCAACAATGGTAAATGAAAAAACTTCAACCAAGAATATCATATCCAGCTAAACTAAGTTTCCTCAGCAAAGGAGAAATAAGATCCCTTTCAGATAAGCAAATGCTGAGGGAGCACATTACCACCAGACCCGTCTTACAAGAAATCTTGAAAGGAGCACTAAATATGGAAAGGAAAGACTGTTTCCAGACAATACAAAAACACACTTAAGTACACAGACCTGTGATACTATAAAGCAGCCACACTAACAAGCTGGCATAATAATCAGCTAACAACACAATGAGAGGATAAAATTCACACATATCAATACTAATCTTGAATGTAAATAGGCTAAATGCTCCATTTAAAAGGCACAGCGTGGCAAGCTGGGTGAAAAGGTAAGACCCAATGGTATGTTGTGTTCAAGAGACCCATCTTACATGCGGTGACACCTATAAGCTCAAAATAAAGGGATGGAGGAAAATCTACCAAGCAAATAGGAATGAGAAAAAAACAGGAGTTACAATTCTAATTTCAGACAAAACAAATTTTAAACCAATGATGATCAAAAAACCACAATAAAGGGCATACATAATGGTAAAGCATTCAATTAAACAAGAAGACTTAACTATCCTAAATATAGCTGCACCCAACACGGGAATACCCAGATTCATGAAGCAAGTTCTTAGAGACCTACAATGAAACATAGACTCCCATACAATAGTCATGGGAGAATTCAACACTCCACTGCCAGTATTAGACAGCTTATTGAGGCAGAAAATTAAGAAAGATCTTCAGGACCTGAAGTCAACATTGGACCAGATGAATCTGATAGACCTCTACAGAACTCTATGCCTCAAACAACAGAATATACATCCTTCTCATCACCACATGGCACATACTTTTAAACTGATTACACAATTGGACATAAAACAATCCTTAGCAAATAAAAAAGAACCAAAATCATAGCAAACACACTCTTGGACCACAACACAATACAAATACAAATCAAAACTTAAAAATCACTCAAAACCATGCAATCACATGGAAAGTAAACAACCTGCTCCAGAATGACTTTTGGGTAAATAATAAAATTAAGGTAGAAATCAAGAAGTCATTTGAATTTAATGAGAAAAAAGATACTACATATCAGAATGCCTGGAACATAGCTAAGGTAATGTTAACAGGGAAATTTATAGCACTGAACACCTACATTAAAAAGTTAGAAATCTCTTACATTAGTCTGTTCTCACACTGCTATAAAGATACTACCTGTACTTGAGTAATTAATAAACAAAAGAGGTCTAGTTGACTCACAGTTCCACATGTTTAGGGAGGTCTTAGGAAACGTACAATCATGGCAGAAGGTGAAGGGAAAGCAGGACACGTCTTACATGGCAGCAGGAGAGAGAGAGAGAGAGAGAGAGAGAGAGAGAGAGCAAGCGATGGGGAACCTACCACTTTAATTTCAATTTTGAAGCTCGTTATTGATCTATTCAGGGAGTCAATGTCTTCCTGGTTAAGTCTTGAGAGTGTGTTAAGTGAAATAACTCAGAAACTGAAGTCAAACACCACATGTTCTCACTTACAAGTGAGAGCTAAACAAAGTACACATATGGACATAGAATGTAGAACAATAGACACTGGAGACACTGTGGAAAAATAGACACTACAGGAGGAGGGGGAAGGGATGAGAAATTACCTATTGGGCACAATGTACATTGTTAGGGTGATGGTTACACTAAAAGCCTAGACTTTACCACTCTTTTATATATATATATATATATATATATATATATATATATATATATATATATATATATATATATATATATATATATATATACCACTATACTATATGTATATATATACACACAGTATATCCATGTAACAAAACTGTACCTGTACTCCTTAAACTTATACAAATTAAAAACATTAAAAACCAGCCTTAATGACCTATAGTGTCAGCAAATAAACATTTTACATATAATGCAGTTATATTGAATATAGATTACTTAGGCATTTCTTGATTATCCAGCAAAATTTTTCCAGGGTTTAACTTTCTCTTAATTGTGTTTTATTTTCTTATCACTTTTTGTGCGTGTATGACTAGAAAACCCAGGCCAGGTAAATAAAGGTACAACCCCTTTGGTGAACACACATGTGGTGATGGTGGGAACAGAATTAGAGTTTAATAAAGTTTATCTAGTTTATCTGTCATTTCCCATATCCAAAACTTCACCATATTTTCCAGCAGCCCATGTGACAGCTGTACCTAAATCCAGATTCAGTCAATGCTTCATGTTAATTAACACAATCACTCAAGCACAGCTTATATGTGAGTTTTTATTACTTCACTACTGACAGACAAAAGCATATTTTCCACCCATGATAAAACACTTTGAGAAGATCTGGGCCACAGACAAAAGGTACTTTCCTGTTCAATGGCTGTTTTTATGAGAGCATTACTCTCACAAATATACATAAAATTACAAGTCAGATTAATCATTTATTCTAGAATAGGCTGTAAAATTTAGTGCATCCTTGTAAAACATTAGGTCTAGAAGATAAACTTTTTGCAATATGCACTTTAAAAAGTTGTCTTTTATGATTTATTTGCCTTCCAGTGCTTACGAACAATGTCAGGGGCAAATCATTTTCTGTGTGGTTAAAAATCATTGGCATGCAAATAGGGTATGATATAAATTTAGTCAAGCAAAATGAGGCTATACTCATTAATCAAAGCAGATTGTGAAAATTTGGCAAAGAGCTTGAAGCTGGGGGTATTCTTAGTACACTACGTTTTCCCTTAGTTACAGAGAATGCAAACAATTTTACCTTTATATCTCCCTGGCCTATTTATATTCAAAAACCTAATTTTTTACTATTCTCACCCTCCTTTTTCTTGCTTGCCACCTTGTCTCATGGTTGGCAAACACAGGTTGCACACTCACCTCTCAGAGTTTTTGCACTACTCTTTTCTCTGATAGAATGTTTCTCCCCGCACACCTCAATCACTGGCTCTTCTCAGGTCTCTGCTCAAATGTCCAAGTATCGTTCATTACTTTCTTGAATACTCTATAAAATAGCAACCCCCAACTTTCCCTTTCCTATCTTCCTTATCTCTCTTGTATCGCTTTACAAAGGCTTTATCCTTTGCCACTGTGGCATACTCTATATTCATCAGCATATTGGTTTATTTTCTGTTTTTTTTATCTGCTGCATAACGTAACACTCTGAAACAATAGCCTGAAACAGTAAGAATAATTTATTTTGCTCACGAATCTGGGAGTTGACTGGATTTAGATATCAAGTTCTTATTGGGGTTTTGCATGCAGTTATGCAGCTATGCAGTGGCTGGGGTTCAAGTCATTAGAAGGCTCACTTCCTCACATTTCCCACACCTGGAATAAGAAGACTCAAACATCTGAGAGCTGGGAGATCTAGAGCTCTTCAGGCATATTTCTATACATCTATATGTTCTCTCCCCAGTTTGTCAATTGTAGGGTAGCCAGGAGTGGTACATAGAGATTCAGAATTTCCAAACAACTGGAGAAAGATGGGAGTTATTTTGTCTTTTATGACATTGACTTGTACCTCATGTGGCACATAACTCCTGTGGAATTTTACTCACTGAGTAACAAAGTCTTGCGTGCTTCAGGCAGAAGAGGAAAAAATTCCAGGTGCCAACGCAGGCATGGAAAAGCTCTGCAAGAACAGTTAGGACCAGAAATATTATGGTCAATTTTGGAAAATGCAGTCTATTACATCCCACTAGAAAGTATGTCCCCAGGGGCAGAGGCTTTGTTTAGATCACTGCTGTAACCCCGTTACCTGGAAGGGTGCCTGGCACTTCCCAAGAGCTTAATAAATAATTTTTGACGACTAAATAAGTAAATAAAGACAACACCTAAATAATATAGGTAAAAAACTATTGTGCATGACCAGTATTTCTGATATTTTCATAACAATAGAGAAAATGTTATGTAAATGTCTATGACCATGTGCTTAAAAGGTATTGTGATTCTTTTTTTAGTAGAATCCCACTTATTTTTTTTCCTTTTTTATTAACTCAATGTAAATTGACCAAATCCAGCATGAGCTCATAATTTCTAGCTTGGAGTTGATATTTGAAATCTTGATTTTATGAATAATTTGAAAACTAGACAGATCACAAAGAGAATATGCTACAACTTTTTTTGCCTCCAATTTCTTTAAATTTTAAATGTTTTTGTGGGAGGCTTAGGAATGTTACATAATCACTTACTAGGAGGTAAGTTCAGGGCATGGTCAGTTTTGCTTCATGATTATCTCTTTCATGTTTAGTACAACCCCAGCACATAAAAGGTCCCTTTAATTTGGTAGAGAGGGTCAATAGGTCAAAACTATTACCAAGTTTATAGGTACAAATTGCAGAAATATTGAAAATATTAACTTTCTTGAATTTTAAAATTATTTTAAATCTAAACTTTAATTAATAGAGAAATTAGACATATACCCTCTTAGTTTGCACACACTCTTTTATCTATTAAACTATACTAAATGTAACAGTTTTACACTATAATATTTATTCTCATTTATTATTTATTGGTGACATCTTAAAAACAATTAAATCACAAAAAGACATAGAATGGAAAGATCAACTTAAAACTAGATAATTTACCATCTGGGTGCAGGGGGTGGTGGAGAAGCACACAGTTATAGACTATTATTTCAAAGTGTATTACTGTAGTCTTGTGTTTTATTTTGTCTTGTATATTGCTCCATAATACTGTCCATATCTTGAAATAGCTTAATTAAATTATTTTTAAATGCTTTTTATTACAAAATGCATTTTCTTTTAAAGTACTTATGTTTCTTGTTACATTTTAATCAAGCTGATTTATCTCAGTCAAAAAGCTAGTAAGTGGTATAATCCGCATGAAGTCTAACTATGAACACTAATCAAGATCTGGATGTATAATGCATGCCTTGGTCTGATTGTGTGATTTGTGTGTGTTTCATGAACATCTGGTGAATTAAAAACATGTCAAAATGTAAGACTTACTTCTATGTATATCTGCATTTCACATAGACAATATATTTGATATCTCTGACATGCCTTTAAAATGCCAAAGACTAAAACTGGAAGAGATTATTCAAACTAAATTGCATAAGTGCCATTCATAGTGCAATATCACATATCATACACAACTTTACCTTTTGAGGAAAAATCCACTTTGCCTTTTTATTAGCCTATGATAGTTTAGAAAATAAATTATCTAAAAGACCAGAAAATGGAAAACATAAACTATGGTTTTGTCAGAATAATATAACCTGAACAATCTAGAATAAAGCATAGCAATCTACAGAATAAATGGATAGTAATTACAGCTTATTGAAAATTAAAATGCATTGGAGAAACTTTTTTTTGTTATGCTACTTTTCATCGGACTTTTTCTTTGCATCTTGCATGTGTGTATGTGTGATACCCCAACATATATGGCCTATCCATGTGTATGCACCTGTGCATAAGCATAGTTCACAAGATGTGTATTATAAGGTCATAAAAAACCCTGGAAGCATGGAGAATAAGGACTGGAATCTTGAGATGTATGGAAATGACCAGTTCAGTGATCTTAGATAAGTCTTCTGACTTCACTGTGATTAATTTTAAAAATTTAATGTATCATCATTTTCTCAAAAGTTAAGCTGATTTCAAATACAAAGGGGGAGGAAAATCCTTCAAAGTCACAAGAAATCAAGTAGTTATCCATTTCAAAATAGGATAGAATAACATAAAATCTCATATTGGTCAATATTACTCTTGAAATTTTCAATGGTTAATTTTTGGTTATATGTTTTCAGCACTTTGGTTGTGGGAAAATAATTTTAAAAGTTAAGACATAAAATTTAAATACAATGGTGTTTCTCTCTTTTCAATCTCCCTTTTCTCTCCCATTCCTCTATTTTCCTTTTTTTCTTTCTTCACTTCTCTCCCTTTCCAAGTTCCAGTAATCTTTGCAGAGCATTTAGTTACAAATAAACATCATACTATAATTACACTAAACATAATTAAACTTCATGGTGATGTAGCATTTAGCTCTATTGGCTGCAGTGCATCAGAGTCCATCTCTATGAAAATCAATTCTCAGTATTTGGTGCTGTTTAAAAGAAAATAATTATATTCTATACTTTTCCATTATATAAATGTTGACCAAATAGAGCTTGAATATATTATATCAGCATTATGAATGCTTGAATGATTTTCAACATAATATCTGTCTTTGTTTTTAAAAATTATTCTGACTTGTTCCCCTCCATCTTATTATTTTTTAAACTGGCAGTTCAATGTTTCTAATGTTAGTAGTTTCAGCAAACTTTACATTGCAATTAATTTCAATGTCTTTGGGAAACTAAGTAAGGTTAAAACTCTATTACTGCTGGTGGCTTATGTAAGGA
This sequence comes from Homo sapiens, assembly GCF_000001405.40. Lineage (NCBI taxonomy): Eukaryota > Metazoa > Chordata > Mammalia > Primates > Hominidae > Homo > Homo sapiens. Next base: position 89,650,320 of record NC_000003.12, on the reverse strand, counting down.
CTTTTCCTTGACATCTGAGGTATATAATTCAACATAATGTTCCAAGTTCAGTAATGGGATGAGCTGGTTATCCTGCACAAGAGAATAACAACTTGATTGTTTGGGTTAACTATAATTGGGAATGTGGTGGGGTTAATTTCAAGGAAGATGAGAAAAAACAAAAGCTCTTCAGGATATGAATGTGAGTATCTGTTAATAGAAATGATAATTAAAATATTTATAGGTATTTATAGTTTAAAAATTGGTTCTATATCAGTAACTTCTGTTGTAGAGCTACCCAATGAAGTATTATTCTTACCATTTATAGATGAAGAAAGTGAGAGTCAGGAAAGTTAAGTGTTGAACCCAAGGTCACACTTTAAAGTAGTAGAAGAGCTAGAGCATAAACTTCCTCTTCTGATGGCAAACCTGTGTACAGATCACTCCTTGGGAAAAATAATGTAGAATAATAAAAATAAATAAATATTCACTTTTGTCCCTGGTTCCCCGCACAAAGCTTCGAATACTCTGAGGTTCCTGGGTAGGATTCCAAGGGGAAAGTTTGCACAGCTTCACAGTGGGGACCAACTGCCAGAAAGACCAAGTCATGATGAGAGGGTTGGAACTTTCAGCTCCATTCCTGTCCTCCCGGAAGGGTAAAGGAACTGGAGATTGAGTTCAATTGCTAAGAGCCCAAGGATTTAAACAGTCATCCTTGTGCAACCCTCTAACCACAAGACGCCGGGAGCTTCTAGGTTGTTGAATACATCATCTTGTGCCCAGAGAAGGCATGAAAGCTCTGCACTCACCTTCACCCTCAGCTTTGCCCCATGCATCTCTTTCCTTTGTCTGTTCCTGCGTAGTTTCCTTTATAATAAACTGGTAATGGTACATAAAATATTTTTTCTGATTTCTCTAGGGTGTTCTAGAAAAATTATTAAACACGAGAATAGGTTAATGAGAACCCTTGAATTTGTAGTCAATTGGGCAGAAGTGTAGATAATCTGAGTACCCCATCGTGCCTAGCATCTGAAATGCAGCTAATCATGTAAGACTGAGCCCTTAACCTGTGGTTCTGCACTAACTCCAGGAGTCAGAGTCAGAACTGAGTTGAACTATTGGATACTCAGTTGGTGATCGAAAAATGGAGAATTGGTATGGAAGAAAGACAAGTATTAGTATTTGGTGTCAAAATAGCTACATGTATATATCACTATAAATAAATATATACATATAGATAGATGTATATAAATACATAAAAACATGATAATAGGGGAGAGGGAACCCTTGAATTTGTAGTCAGTTGGGCAGAAGTGTGGGTAGTCTGAGTATCTCATTGTGGATATAAATATATAAATATATATTTGTATATATATATTTATCTAAGAAAGAGAGACATGTAACATGATGGTAGGAACTATGCATTTTGGAGTGATAACTTCAGCGACAAAATCCAATGCCATTGCTTTATAGTTATATAAACCTCCTTGAACCTGTGTTAATCTAAATATAAATAGGAAAAATAGGGATAATTATTGTGTTTCTTGGGAGACACCTTCAGTAATGCATTTAGCATTGTGCTTGGGACAAGGTTATCACTTAATAATAATAGTAGTCTTGAGGGAAAGGAGGAGGAGAAAAAATCAGAATTTATCCCTCGGCTTAACAGTTTCAAAGTTACCTAGCATCTCTTCAGGTCATTGATTTTGTTGCAATATCTAGAAAATAAAAGAGTAATCATACATATTATATTTTATATGTCAAAAATATGGAATTAACAAGAACTAGAAGAGCTAAAATTACATACTGGGAACAGCCCCCTACCTAAACAATCTGACAAACAATGTTATGCCTTGGGGACTTTTACTAATTCAGAGAATGAGCAGAAAATCGGGTTTAAACTAAGGAGATGGATTCTCCTTAAGTAAAAGAAAGTCAGAGAAGCGTTTGACTGTTACAGAGGCTGGTGTGATGAGGTAGATTCTAGAAGAGCTCAAGCACATGGCCATTTTTCCTGATGAGACATTTGTTGAGTGACTTGTGTGTGCGGGGGGCTGCTGGTAGTGGTGGTAGTGGTTAGGGGTTTGGCTTATAAATGTTTAAAAGCCAGAATGAAATCCTTTGCCATCTCTTGACACTTAGGAGACAAAATCCCACTAAAGTCTTAGGGAAGGGGTTGTGGAGTGAGGCTTGCTTCAAATATATGGGCAGTCTCCAGGTCAAGGCATTTGCCAGATTTTGAAGTTACAGGGTAGGTCAAGAAGGAATATAGCTAAAAACAAAGCAAAACAAACAAACAAACCGAAAAAGAACCCTCCAATAAAATACCTATAGTCTTTCAGCTTTCAATCAAATGCCTGCAAGATCATGCATGAGGAACAGGATGAAAAAAAAATTGGCTAAGGCTTACTGAATTCTAAACTATACCTACTATACAGATCATTGATTTGTTGAATTGAGACAATCATTTGATTACCTAATCTACTGAAGAGAGGAGAAACGAAGTCCTTTCCACAGAGGAATAAAAAGAAAAATACCACATATAGTGTGTAATTATTTTAGGCACATTGTCTGATATACAATAAAAACATTAAGAAGATATGAAAAAAGAGGAAAAGGTGACAGATAATGAAGAGAGAAACAGTAGATAGAAAAAGTATCTAAATAATCATACTGAAATTAACAGACTATAATTTTAATATAACTATTGTGTATATGTTAAAAGAAATAGAGGGAAAAGACAAAACAAATAATGAAATATTTCTGCAGAACTGGAGTCTATATAATTAAAATGGTAGTCTAGAAATTTTAAAATTATAATATTTGAAATTAGGAAATCATTTTATAAGTTTAATAGCAGAATGAACATAGAACCTTTATTAACCTTATAAGGTTAATAAACCTGAAGCTAGAGCCATAAAAATATTCAAACTTAGGTAAACATAGAAACAATAAGGAAATGAATAAAGCTAGTTATTAAAGACATCTGGCATACAGTGAAATAATAAAGCATATAGTCAGTCCTTTGTAACCATGGGTTCTGTATCTGGGGATTCAACCAACTTTAGATTGAAAATATCCAAAATAATTACAATAAAAAGAATAATACAACAATTAAAAAAATGCAGTATAACATCTACTTACACAGATTTTACATTGTATTAGGTACTATAAGTAATCTAGAGGTGACAAAGCATAGGAGAGGATATGCACAGATTAAATGCAAATACCACATCATTTTATATAAAGAACCTGAGCATCTGCATATTTTGGTATCTGCAGTGGGCCTAAAACCAATCCCACATGGATACTAAGGGATGACTGTAAGTGTAATTGCAGTCCCCATTGGAAAGAGCAGATAATGGGATGAAAGCAACATTTCAAGAGATAGAATTAGGGGATATTTCTTCAAATTAATGAAACATATCAATCCACAGAGTCAAGGAACTCATGAAACTTTTTCGAGCAGTGTAAATATAAAACCATACATAGATTCAATGACACATTATAGATAATCTGCTCAAATAAAAGAGAAAGTAGACTGAGGAAAAAACTACATTGTATTTCTCAAAAGATAAAGAAAAATAGCGATTACTGTCTTTTAAACAAAAGTCATGGAAGCCAGAGGAAAATGAAATATACTTTCTTTAATATTTTGGGGCAGGGGATGGAGGATGGTGGGACGAAATCCTAGCAATCTACAATTTAAAATCCAAAGAAAGTGTCCTTAAAAATTAAAGGCAAAATAAAGATGTCTTATAAAGTGGAATCTCGCTCTGTCACCCAGGCTGGAGCACAGTGGAGCTCTCTTGGCTCACTGCGACCCCTGCCTCCCAGGTTCAAGCAATTCTCCTGCCTCAGCCTCCCGAGTAGCTGGGATTACAGGCACCTGCCATCAAGCCCAGGTAATTTTTTCTATTTTTAGTAGAGACAGGGTTTCGCCAAGTTGACCAGGCTGGTCTCGAACTCCTGACCTCAGGTGATCCACCCAAGATGAGATAATTTCTAAAGGCAAATCTTCACTATAAGAAGTAAAAATAATCCACAATGTAAAGGCAAAAATGATACCAGATGAAAGTATAAAACTACAGGAAGAAGTGAAACATACAGGACATGATAAGCATATGTAAAAAATTTAAAATAGCTAACTATTTGGAAATGATAATAATACTGTCTTTTAATATTTATAAATCTACAGTGTCAAAGCAATGAGGAGAGGCTCCAATTGTAAACTTCTTTCATTGTTCAAAAAGGTTAAAGTCATATTTTTACATATATGGTAAGAAGTCAAGGATGCATAATGTAACCTCTAGTATCACTCCTAAAAGAATAACATAAAAGCAGTTTACCTAAAAAGTTAAAGAGGTCATTAAAAAGTCCAGAAAATAGTAATAAATAAAATAGCAATAAATAAAAAATCAACAGATAAGATAAATCAAAATCAAATAGCAGAAGGGCAGAAAAACCCAAATATATCTGTAATTTCATTAAATATATATAAATTAAATCCTCCATTCAAAAGATCAAGATTGGCTAGAATTTTTTAAAAGACCCAAATATATGCTGCTCAAAAGCAACACACTTTATATAAAAAATAGACTGAATTAAAACACTAATATGAAGATAGTGGTTGTGTCTATATTGATTTCAGATTAATCAGATTTTAAGACAAGAAATATTATGAGAGATAAAGTGAAACACTTTATAATGATCAAGGCCAAACAAAGGGAGGATACAAAGGTACAAAGCTGTATACACCTAAAACAAAAACTGACAGGACCCAAAGAATAATCATGTATATTGATAATTATAGTTAAAGAATTTAATACACTTCTTTCAATATCTGTAGAAAAAGCAGGCAAAAATAAATTTAACTTATGCATTTTGTAAGAACACTGTATGGAAATTGTGTTTCTATATCACAGCAGCAAATAATAGAAAATGAAATTAAAAATTATAAATAGATTATTTTCCTTATTATCAAAAGTGTAAATATCTAGAAATAAAATTAAATGAGAAAATGTACAATATCTCTAAAATGAAAACCATAAACATTGAGGAGTATTAAAGAAGACAAAATAAATATAAAGGCATATTATGTTTATGAGTTAGAAGAGTTTCTATTTTGAAGGTATCAGTTACCATTAAGATGATCTATGTATTCAACACAAGGACAATTACAATTCCAACTCCTTTTTGCTTTGTTTTGTTTTGGGTATGAAATTTGATAAGCTGTTTTGAAAATTTAGATGAAAATACAATAGATTATGAATAGCTGATTCACTATTTGTATTAGTCCATTTCACACTGCTTATAAAGACATATCTGAGACTGGGTAATTTATAAGAGAAAGAGGTTTAATTGACTCATAGCTCAGCATGGCTGGGAGGCCTCAGGAAATTTATGGCAGAAGGGGAAGCAAACATATCCTTCTTCACGTGGTGGCAGCAAGCAGAGGTTGCCAGCAAAAGGGGGAAAAGCACCTTATAAAGACATTAGATCTTATGAAAACTCACTCACTGTCATGAGAACAGCAGCATGGAGGTAGCCACCCCCATAATTCAATTACCTCCCACTGGATTCCTCCTATGCTATGTTGGGATTGCAGGAACTACAATTCAAGATGAGGTTTGAGTGGGGACACAGCCAAACCATATCACTATCAGAGAAGAAAACTGTTGGAAAGCTTCCTTATAATGTTTCAAGACTTAGTGAAAATCCACAGCTAATAAAGGCATGAGTATGGTATTAATAGTACAAAACAGACCTATAGGACAGAAAAGAGTCCAAAACGAAACCCATGTATTTGTGGTGAGCTAATTAATGTAAAGTGTCCCACCAGAATGTAAGAGGAAAAGACTGCCTTTCAATAGATGATACTGAGTCAATTAGATATTTATAACTTTAATTTTATCTTTTTCCATGCACAAGAACAATGTCTGTTGGATCATAAAGCTAAATTCAATTAAAAAATCAAAATTTCTAAAAGCCACATAGGATAATATCTTTGAAGTGAGCAAAAATATGTGAAATACATCACAAAGAAAGTGCTCACCATAAAAATCAAATAACTTCATTAAAATATATTAAAGTTTTAAAATTTTGGTAATTAGATGACACCATTAAGACAGTGAATAAGCCAAACCAGAGATTTTGAATGATGCAATTATATATACAATATATATGATTTAATAGATTTGGGAGGGTCATCTATTTTTTATTTTGGGGGTACATAGTAGGTATATGTAACTATGGAGTACATGAGATATTTTGGTACAGGCATACAATGTGTAACAATCACATCAAGGTAAATGGGGCACCCATCACTTTAAGCATTTATCTTTTCTTTATGTTACAAACAATCTAATTATAGTATTCTAGTTATTCTAAAACATACAATAAATTACTATTGATTCTACTCACTCTGTTTTGCTATCAAGTACTAGATCATATGCATTATATCTAGCTATAATTTTTTACCCATTAATCATCTTCAACCCCCACTTCCACTACCTTTCCCAGTCCCTGGTAACCATAATTCTACTCTTTATCTTCCTGAGTTCAATTGTTAAAAATTTTTTAGCTCCCACAAATAAGTCAGAACATATGAAGTTTGTCTTTCTGTGCCTGGGTTATTTTACTTAACATAATTACCTCCAGTTCATCATGTTGTTGCAAACAACAGGATCTTATTCTTTTTATGGCTGCATAGTACTCCATTGTGTATATGTACCACATTCTATTTATCCATTCATCTGTTGATGGACAATTAGGTTGCTTCCAAATCTTGCATAATGTGAATAGTGCTGCAGTAAATACGGGAGTGTGGGTATTTGTTCAATATACTGATTTCTTTTCTTTTGAGTATATATCTGGCCACAGGATCATATGGTAGTTCTATTTTTAGTTTTTTTGAGGAACCTTCAAACTGTTCTCCATAGAGTTTTTACTAATTTACATTCCTACCGATGGTGTATGAGGGTTCCTTTCTATCTGTGTCCTTGCTAGCATTTATTACTTCCAGTCTTTTGGATAAAAACCATATTAACTATGGTGAGATGATATCTCATTGAAGTGTTCATTTGCATTTCTCTGATAATCAGTGATGTTGAGCACCTTTTCATATACCTGTTTGACATTTGTATGTTTTCTTTTGAGAAATGTCTATTCAGATCCTTGCCCATTTTAAAATTGAATTTGTTAGATTTTTTCCTACAGTCGTTTTAGCTCCTTATATATTTTTCTTATTAAACCTTTGACAGGTGGAGAGTTTGCAAATATTTTGTCCCATTCAGTGAGTTGTCTCTTCACTTTGTTTATTGTTTATTTTGCTGTGCAGAGGCTTTTCAACTTGACATAATCTCATTTGTCCATTTTTGCTTGGGTTGCCTGGGCTTGAATGGTATTACTCAATAAATCTCTCCCCAGTCCAGTGTTCTAGAGAGTTTCCCCCAATATTTTCTTTTAGTAGTTTCATAGTTTCAGATCTTAAACTTAAGTCCTTAATCCATTTTAATTTTTTATTTTATTTTATTTTATTTTTTATATGGCAAGAAATAAGGGTTTAGTTTTATTCTTCTGCATATGAATACAAGTTTTCATTCATTGGGTCTTTAGGTTTTTTAAATCCATTCAGAGCCTATGTCTTTTGATTGCATAGTTTATTCCATGTACATTCACCGTTACATTGATAAGTAAGGACTTGCTCCTGCCATTTCGTGTTTTTTTTTTTTTTTTCTGGTTGTTCTGTGATCTCCTCTTTCATCTTTACTTCCTTTCTGTCTTCCTTTAAATGAAGGTTATTTTCTCCGGTGGTATGTTTTAATTTCTTACTTTCTATTTCTTTTGTATCTGTTGTTAAGTTTTTAGATTTGAAGTTAATATGAGTCTTGCAAATAATATTTTATAATCTATTATTTTAAACCAATGACAACTTAACACTGATTGCATAAACAAAATAACATATAAGCAAAAAGACAACTAATAAAACTCTATAGTTTAACTTTGCCTCCCGCCTTTTAACTTTTTTTAAATTTATATGTTATTGCACTGCCTGTGTCTTAAAAAGCTTTTGTAGTTGTTATTTTTGATTGGTTTATCTTTTCACTTTTCTACTTAGGACATGAGTAGTTTATATATCAAAATAGAGTTATAATATTCTGTGTTTTTCTGTATATTTACTATTATCAGTGAGTTTGTGCTTTCAGATTATTTCTTATTGCTCATTAAGATACTTATTTTTCAAACTGAAGATCTCCCTTTAGTATTTCATGTAGAACAGGTCTAGTGTTGAAGAAATTCCTCAGCTTTTGTTCGTCTTGGAAAGTCTTTATTTTTTCTTCATGTTTGAAGTCCATTTTCACTGGATATACTATTCTATGATAAAAGTTTATTTCCTTCACCACTTTAAATGTGTCATGCCATTGTCTCCTGGCCTGTAAGGTTTCCACTGAAAAGTCTGCTTCCAGTTGTATTGGAGGTCCATTGTGTGTTATTTATTTCTTTTCTCTTGCTCCTTTGAGGATTCCTTCTTTATCCTTGACCTTTGGGAGTTTGATTATTAAATATCTTGAGGTAGTTTTATTTGGGTTCAATCTGCTTGTTGTTCATTAACCTTCCTGTACTCAAATATTAATATCTTTCTCTAGTTTTGGGATGTTTGCTGTTACTGTACCTTAGAGTAAATAGATAGAAAAAAACTTTCTATCTTGATCTTTCTACCTCCTTTTGAAAGCCAATACCTCTTAGATTTGTTCTTTTGATGCTATTTTATAGACCTTGTAGGCATGCTTCTTTTTTATTCTTTTTTTCCTTTACTAACTGTGTATTTTCAAATAGCCTGTCATGAAGCTCACTAATACTTTTCTTCTGCTTGATCAGTTCTCTTGTTTAGAGACTCTAATTCATTCTTTGATATGTCCATTGAATTTTTCAGCTCCAGAACTTCTGTTTGATTTTTTAAAAAATATCTTAATCTCTTTGTTAAATTTACCTGGTAAGATTCCAAATTCCTTCTCTGTGTTATCTTGAAATTTGTTCAGATTTCTCAAAACAGCTATTCTGTGTTTGAAAAGTCACATATCTCTGTCACTCTGAGATTAGTCACTGAGATTAGTTCACTTGGTCACTGAGTCACTGAGATTAGTTCACTTGATGAAGTAATATTTTTCTCAATGGTCTTGATCCTTGTGGATATTCGTCGATATCTGGAAATTGAGGAGTGAGGTAATTATTGTAGTCTTTGTAGTCTGTGCTTGTTTGTATCCATTTTTCTTGGGAAGGCTTGCCAGGTATTCAAAGGGTCTTGGGTGTTGTGATCTAAATCTTCGGTCACTGCAGCAATATCTGCTTTAGAAGCCAGGAATTCTGCGGCTCTTATAAACTTAAAGAGATACCACTTTGGTGGTCTTGGGTAAGAAATGTGAGAATTCCCTGGATTATTAGGCAGAGATTCTTACTCTTTTCTCTTTCTTTCCCCCAAACAAAAAGAGTCTCTCTCTCTGTGCTGAGCTGCCTGGAATTGGAGGAAGGGGTGACACAAGCACCTTTGTGGTTACCAACATTGAGACTTCATTGGGTCAGACCTGAAGCTAGGACAGCACTGGGTCTCACCCAAGGCTTGCAGTGACCACTACATGGCTACTAACTGCCTATGTTCACTCAAGGCCGAGGGCTTTCCAATTAGCAGGTAGCAAATATAACTAGGCTTTTTCCTTCCTTTCAGAATAGTGACTTTCTCTAGCCTCAGGGCTGGTCCAGAATGCTGTCTGGGAGCCAGGGCTTGAAGTCAGGGTCCTTATGAATCTACCTTGTGTTCTACTCTCCTGCAGTTGAGCTGGCACTCAAGAAGGAGGATAAACTCCTTGTCACTCTTCCCTCCTTTTTCCTCAAGCAGAGAAATCTCTCCCCATGGCCACCACTGCTCCATGCAGTGGTGTGTACTGTGCATGTGTGTGTACATGCCTACAGTGTGGTGTGTACATGCCTACAGTGAGTACTGCCTGTCTACCACTGATACTCAAGGCTGAAGGGCTCTTCAGTCACCTTGTGTTGAATGCTGCTGGTCCTTAGTCTCTCACTTCAAAGCAATAGACTCCCCTCTGGCCCAGGGCAGGTCCAGAAATGCTGTCCAGGAGCCAAGGCCTGGAATTGGGGACCCCCACCAGCCCACTTGGTGCTCTACTTCACTGTGGCCAAGCTGGTATCCATGCTGCAAGACAATGTCTCCTTTACTCTCCCCACTCTTTCCTCAAATATCAGGATCTTTTCCCTTAGCCGCCACAATTGGGAATGTACTAGGTCACACCGAAAGCCAGCACATCACTAGGTCTCACCCAAGGCCTGTGTTGAGTAGTTCCAGGCTACCATTGCTGATTATTTAACCAGTTGGTGATGAATTCTGCCAGAATTCATCATGAAGTTCCTTCCCTTCAAGGAAGTGGGTTGTCTTCTGGCCCAGGTGTGTTTAGAAATGTCATTTGGGAGCTGTGGCCTGAAATTGGAGCTTCAGGACTCTGCCTGGTGCCCTCTTCTACTATATCTACACTGGCATCTTACTATATCTTACACTGAAGTTGTAAGAGAAAGTCCTATGTACTTGCCCCTCTTCTCTCCTCAAGTGGAAGGAAGGAGTCTCCCAGAGCTGTGCTGCCTTGGGTTGCCATCGCTCCCTGGGCTGCAAGCATTCCTTTGGCTCACAGATCAAAAAGTTGAATCTTAGTGCCACTCTCTTGCCTACCCCAGCTGATGTCTCACTAGGACATGTGCAACCCAAGCCCGCTGGCTCTAGGCCTGGCACAGCACCAGGCCTTGCCCAGGAACTGCAGTCCTAGTGGCCTAGACTCCCTTTCAAGTTTCTTTAGTACCCCAGAGCTTTTTACCCATGGTGGCATGACTTGCCAGAACTCAGTTTCGGACCACTGGGATGAATGATTTTCCTCTGGCTAGGGCTGGTCTAAATGCTCCCTCTGTGGATGCTGACTGAGTTCTGCCCTGTGTTTCTTTCTTCTGTGACAGGGCAGCACTGAGTTCCAGTGCAAAGTCCCACAGTCACTGTATTCTTTCTCCCCCAATACCATAGATTCTCTTTGCATCACATGTTTTCTGCCAGGAAATGGGGACGGGGTAAAGTAGGTGATTCAAGACTGTCTTTCCTGCCCTTTTCATTACCTCTTTCCTTAATATGAAGTTAAAACCAGGTACGTGATCACTCACCTGGTTTTTAGTTCTCACGAACATGCTTTTTGGCATGAGGATAGTTGTGCAATTTGGTGTTTCTGCAGGGTGAACAACAGCTGGAGGCTTCCTTTTCGCCATCTTGAACTCAGGTTTTCCTAGATACTTTAGTATTTATAAGTATGTATGAATAAATAAGATATATATTAAGTATAATTTTAGTATATACAACTTACACTGAGTATATATATTTTTATGTATTTAGACAATGTACATATATTTAGACAATATATTATAAATATATATTATATTATATATAATATATATAATATAGACAATATAATATATAATATATTATATGTTATATGTTATATTATAATATATTATATGTTATATGTTATATTATATATTATAATATATAATATATTATATGTTATATTATATATTATAATATATAATATATTATATGTTATATTATATATCATAATATATACAATATATTATATGTTATATAATATATTACAATATGTTATACGATACATAATATAGACAATATGTTATACAATACATAATATAGACAATATGTTATACAATACATAATATAGACAATATGTTATACAATACATAATATAGACAATATGTTATACAATACATAATATAGACAATATGTTATACAATACATAATATAGACAATATGTTATACAATACATAATATAGACAATATGTTATACAATACATAATATAGACAATATGTTATACAATACATAATATAGACAATGTTATACAATACATAATATAGACAATATGTTATACAATACATAATATAGACAATATGTTATACAATACATAATATAGACAATATGTTATATAATATATAATATAGACAATATGTTATATAATATATATGTACATACATACATATACATAAATGTACATTTATATATAATATATAATATAATATATATATAATATAGACAATATATTATATAGTAAATATATGTACATATATTTAGACAAATTCAGTATATTTTTTTAAAATTCATATATATAAAATTTAAGTATTTATAAATTTAAATATAATTATATATAGCTATATACAAAATTCCCACTTTATGGGAATTATATATTAATTTTACATATACACACATATACTTTTCAAAAATAGATTCATGTATAATATATAACCTAAAAATAAGTGAGAAAATATAGATAATTCAATAAAAATACTTCAGAAAATATTTACATAGGTTATATACATGAATAAAAGTTTCAACATTATTATTCATCAGAGAAATACAAATTAAAACCACAATGATATTCAACCATACATTCTAGAATGGATAAATTTAAAAATACAAATGATATTTATGTCTTTTTCATAGAAATTAATTGGAATTCTCACCACAACCACTTTGTAGAACTTTTTGTTGAGTATTAAGGATTAACATATGCAGACTCCATGTCCCAGCAATTCCGCTTTTAGGCATACACCCAATAGGAAGGCATGCATCTGTTCATTTAAAAAATATGTAAGAGTATTCACATGATTATTTGGAATAGCTCCAAACTGAAATCAACTGAAATGTTCACTAAGAATAGAAAGGGTAAATAAATTAGCATATATCCATGGAAAGAAACACTACATAGCAATGAGAATGAGCAACTATGACTGTGAAGATGGATCTCACAAGTCTAATGCCAAGCCATTCACATAAAAAGGTATATACTGTATAATTCCACTCACAGAAAGTTTAAAAGCAGGCAAAAATACTACTTTTGGTGTTACAAATTATAATAGCTCTAACCATTGGGTGGGGAAAACTGTGATGGAAGGGCTAAAGGGAACTCTGTGGTGCTAAGATTCAATTTTTTGATCTATGAGCTCATGATACAAAAATTCATTATTATATATTTGTGATTTGTCCACTTTTACCTGTATTTTGCAAATGAAGAGAGAGAGTAAAGAGGAGGAGATACAGGTGAATCTGACGAAAAATGTACTAGACTATTATTGCTTGCAGGTGGGTGAGTTTGACAGATGTTACTGGTATATTCCTTGTATCTTTCACTGAGTTGTAGAACTTAAGAAAAAAAAATTAGATTTGGGTAGAATGTGGAAAAGTTACTCCAGTACCTTCACATCTTCTAGAAAGTCAGGTTCTATGGCATGTAGTATTTGGGTGTATTATTTTAAAAAAATATTATAGGTGATCAAAATAAATAGAAAAGTATCTACCAGTGGGGGCTTTCTCGGAAGTATGGGGAGATTGCTCATTGGAATGGAATATAAAAATTATGGTTTCTTATACCACTTCTGCTTTATATACTGTAATTTTGATACAGCCATATAACATGTCTATCTTTAGATAAATAATCTCCAGCTGTAGAATATGTGGGTTTGGCCGGATTACAAGGATTGTCCTTTCTAGATCTGAAGTCTACAATTCTCATGACTTTCAACTTGACTCACTACTAAAAACATACCCAAACCCAATTCCCCCCTTAATTTAGCAAGCCATATCTTCCATCAAATTTTCACTTCCCTTTGATTTCCTTTTTGTCCTCCTCCAGAAAATTCCTATTTAAAAACTTTTTCTAATAATGGAACAACAATTTATATCAATCTTACTTATTTCCCACACAAACTCACATTCCTATTTCCAGTCTATGCACAAACTGTTTATTCACAGGTCTGTTCCATCACAAAATCCCCATTGACCCAGCTCTGAAAGGAAAAGTGATTGAAAATAGTTTTTTTCTTAGCTCCAGGCATTTTCTAGTAGCTTAGAGGTCATTAATATTCCTGTTGGCAATAATTTTATTATACTCTGACAATATTGAAAACTGTCTTGTCTGAAGTAAAAAAAACCCTTAATAATGTCTAAAATTTATTTTATGCTTTACATTTTGTAATGCTTTATTATGTAGTCTATGATATTTAATTCTTATAAGAATGCTATGTTAACGTGTATCAAGACAGGGAGTATGAGATATACATGCCATAGGGCAACTAGTAATTTTATCCTCTTCTTCACTCATATTCTTTATACTTGAAATTGATTTTAATTATACAAGTAGTACATGAATATCCTCATTATAAAACATTAGAATATTAATAAGACTAAAATTTCTTTTGATGATTAACCTTAATTCCACTTTTTTTATGAGAAATAGATAGATTTGTGAGTTCAAAGTGTACCTTTAAGCAATTCAGAGCAAATAAATAAACCCATTCATCCATAAAATATATAACATATTTTTGGTTGAATAAATAATACATATATGAATATATAATATATAATATTTGGGGCTTATATATATTATATGCAATAATATATAACAATAAGATAATATTAATATATTCAAACTGTTGATATAAATTGATATTTAACATTAATAAAATTGTATACAATTTGCTGCTTAATATTAATACAATGTATGCTATTTTGGATGAATATATATTACATTAATTATTAATTATATTGATATATAATTAATTGAGTATGCATTATGTAACTATTAATTATATTACTATTATATTAATAGTAATATGAGTATAATATATATTTGACCAAAATAAAATATCATATACATATACAGTAATGTATTAACATATATTGTAATATATATTCAACCAAAATATACATTTTACATGTCATATAATATATTATCACACTGTAGGTGTTAGTTACCTATTTCTTTTGGTGTTTGTTAGCTATTGTTTAGTGATTTGCTTTCCTTCCACATCAGTACTTATTCATCTGTATCACTCAACTAGAGTATAACATTGCATCATATGGGCACATAAATGTTTATTTAACTATTCCCTGTATGAATGGATATTTAGATTGCCTCAATTTATACTAGTTGAGTCAGTGACTATTCTTTAAATATTTGTTCATGTGCAGATATAAGTACTTCTCTTGGTAGGTCTTAAGAACTTGATGCTTTGCTTAAAATTTTAATAGTTACTACCAAAATGACTTTCAAAGTATCTGTCTTATATTAAATCATTACAAATCATGTGTATATCAAATATGTTTCACCAATATTTTTATTCTATATGTACCAGTCTAAGGGGTAAAATGGTGTTTTTTGTTGCTTTAATTTCCATTTTTTTGCTGACTTCTGAGATTAGGTCTCTCATTTTTAATTGCCTATTTTTTCTCTACAAAATGCACATCTTAGGCCTAGATTTCTATTGGATATTTTTCATTTTCCTAATGATTTGAATTGTTCCTATATTCTACGTATAAATATTTTGCTGTAATGATATATATACTTTTCCTGAGTCTTTTAGCCTTATTTATGTTGTCTTTTGATACTGTTTTACATTTAGATATATATAATTTTTTATTTTGTTGCTTTTTCTTTTTCAAAAAAAATCTCTTCATACATCAGCATTATGAGCATATTCCAGATTTTTCTGAACAATACATTTAGGAATTTACTGAGACTTTATTCAATGTTGTGAATTAGGCTTTTTTTTTTTTCAAAATTAATTTCCAGTTTCCTGGGGGTAATTTGCAAAGTAGTCTATCCTTTCAACTCTACTTTGAAATACCACCCACATCATTTATGTTCCACTGGTATGTTCTCTTCTGGCATTAGAACTATACTTTTAAATTGCTATTGTTTTGAGTTTTGATACCTGGCAAAGACAATTGGCTTTGTTTCTCTCTAGAGAAACCTGACCAATACAATTATATTTATATCTCTTTACTTAATTTTTTTTCTTTCTTATTGCAAGTTTGTCTTTGTAAATAGCATATTATGAATTATTTTTTAGCTTATTCTTGACTCTTTGTCTTTTAGTAGATAAATTTCAGGTATATTTTTATTTACCTAAATTGTGATTATTGCCTTGTGTGACCCTATAGTTTCTCTGTTATAATGTTTTCTATATATTTCCAGTTCTCTATCCCACTTTTTATCTTTTGTGATTGTGATATTTTTTCCACTGATTTTATTCGGCCACTTTTAAGTTATGTCTCTACTTCTATTCCAATAATTCCTCTCAAACTTGTATTACATCTGTTTAAACCTACTTTTGTAAAAAATTAGAGTTATCATCATCTATTGTCTTCTCACTGAACAAAAATGAAACCATATTGTTAATTCTATCTGTTCTGTTTTTTACTATCTCATCTTATATCTTGATACCATTAAAAGTTTTCTGTGTTCAAGAGTCTAGTATGTGAATTCACAGCATATTCCACTCCCCAAATTTAGTTCTGTCATATTTTTATCTTACATATAAGGGACAATCACTAAAGAGACACCAAATGACAGAACACAGCAATAAAATATTAGAAGATATTCAAATATCATATTCCACTGTTATTTTCTTAACAAAATAGCAAGTCATCATTACATAGTCAATTAAAGATACAGTGGGGTTGTTCCTTTTATAGTTTATAGTTAAATGTATTTGTAGTATAATTTACTATGTGCCAAAATTTTCTGATAACAACACATTTTTTTCAGCTCTGTTTTAGACTGTTTCAAGATCAATAGACTATTCCTGCTACTCAGAACTTGTGATTTTTCTATTCAGTTCCAGCATAGAATATACTAGAATGAACAAAATGACCTTTTACATACAAAATTAGTTTCACTACAAGCAGAGTGAACATATTTTTCCTAAAATTATGTTGTTAAAATTAGATTATGTTATGTATTCCTGAAGTTCTATATGCTGATCAATATTATTTATAGAATCCCTTCTTTTCTGCTTAGCAAATCATTGCAAATATTTTCTATTTTCACATTCTCAAAATCTAATTAGATATCAGAACTTCTAGGTTTTATTCAATGTCTTGCCTTTTCAAACTTTGGTTTTGTTTTCTGGGAGAATGTCTCTGCCTAAATTTGCAACTCACTAATCGTCTCTCTCTGCAGATTCTTTTGTTTGCTAAGAAGGCAATTCAAATGGTAGAAATTTTAATTGTTATGATGCCTTTTCATGGCTATATCATTCTGCTAACATCTTTCAGAGGATTAAAATTAAAGTTATTTTAAAGTTATATTTTCCTTACTCTGTTTCTACAGAGATAAGTTATTTCAATTGTTGAGTTGCTTGCCTCTTGATTATCAGAATTTCCCCCTCAATGGTATTCTTTGTTAGATTTGATACTGTCTTTCTGCATTGTATTTTTCTGTACAGTGTTTGAGGACAGGAGAAGCTGCTGTGGATTGGGTGACGGCTGTTTTCAGTGAATTCAGTGAATTCAGGAGACGTGCTATGTTCCTGAGCATGGATGCTCCCCGTGTCTCCCAGAAGTCTCCATTTACTCCTCTATCCTTAATAAACTGCCATGTAAACTGTTCCTGCCTAGTGTTGCCACATTGTCCAATGGAGTTGGGAAAGAAATGTACCAGAATTAATCTACTTGGCTGCACCTACTCTGAATCCAACTTACTACTCTATTGCTTTCTCCTTACTCCACATTTTCTTGTACCTTTCACCACTGTATTAGTTTGCTTTCACACTGCTGATAAAGACATACCCGAGACTGGGAAGAAAAAGAGGTTTAATTGGACTTACAGTTCCACATGGCTGAGGAGGCCTCAGAATCATGGTGAGAGGTGAAAGACACTTTATACATAGTGGTAGCAAGAGAAAATAAGGAAGAAGCAAAAACAGAAACCCCTGATAAACCCATCAAATCTCGTAAGACTTATTCACTATCACAAGAATAGCATGGAAAGACCAGCCTGCATGATTTAATTACCTCACCCTGGGACCCTCCCACAGCACATGGGAATTCTGGGAGATAAAATTCAAGTTGAGATTTTGGTAGAGACACAGCCAAACCATATCATTCTGCCCCTGGTCCCTCCAAATCTCATGTTCTCACATTTCAAAACCAATCATGCCTTCCCAACAGTCCCCCAAAGTCTTTATTCATTTCAGCACTAACCCAAAAGCCCACAGTCCAAAGTCTCATCTGAGACAAGGCAAGTCCCTTCTGCCTATGAGCCTGTAAAATCAAAACCAAGCTAGTTACTTCCTAGATACAGTGAGGGTACAGGTATTGGGTAAATGCAGCCATCCCAAATGGGAGAAATTGGTCAGAACAAAGGGGTTACAGGGCCCATGCAAGTCTGCAATCCTGTGGGGCAGTCAAATTTTAAAGCTCCAAAATGATCTCCTTTGACTCCAAGTCTCACATCCAGGTCATGCTGATGCAAAAGGTGGGTCCCTATGGTCTTGCACAGCTCTGCCCCTGTGGCTTGGCAGGGTACAGCCTCCCTCCTGGCTGCTTTCACAGGCTGGCGTTGAGTGTTTCTGGCTTTTCCAGGAGCACAGTGCAAGCTGTCGATGGATCTACCATTCTGGGGTCTGGAAGATGATGGCCCTCTTCTCACAGCTTCACTAGGTATTCCGCTATGTGGGGGCTCTGACTCCACATTTCCCTTCCGTACTGCCTTAGGAGAGGTTCTCCATGAGGGCCCTGCCCCTACAGCAAACTTTTGCCTGGGCATCCAGGTGTTTCCATACATCTTCGGAAATATAGGCAGAGGTTCCCAAACCCTAATTCTTGACTTCTGTGCACTTGCACATTCAACACCATGTGGAAGCTGCTAAGGCTTGGGGCCTCAGCCCTTTGAAGACACAGCCCAAGCTGTACATTGGCCCCTTTCAGGAACAACTAGAGGGGCTGGGACACAGGGCACCAAGTCCCTAGGTCACACACAGCATGGGGACCCTGGGTCCAGCCCATAAAACCACTTTATCCTCCTGGGCCTCTATGCCTGTGATGGGAGGGGTTGCCGGGGAGTTCTCTGACATGACCTGGAGACATTTTCCCTATGGTCTTGGGGATTACCATTAGGCCACTTGCTATTTCTGCAGGCAGCTTGAATTTCTCCCCAGAAAATAAATTTTTCTTTTTCTTTTCTTTTTTCTTTCTTTCTTTTTCTTTTTCTTTTTTTTTTTTTTTTTTTTTGAGAAGGAGTCTCGTTCTGTTGCCTGGTCTAGAGTACAATGGCCTGATCTCAGCTCACTGCAACCGCCACCTCCCAGGTTCAAGCGATACTTCTGCCTCAGCCTCCCAAGTAACTGGGATTACAGGCACCCGTCATCATGCCAGGCTAAATTTTGTATTTTTGTAGAAACGGGGTTTCACCATGTTGGCCAGGCTGGCCTTGAACTCCTGACCTCAGGTGATCCACCCGCCTAGGCCTCTCAAAGTGTTGTTGGGATTACAGGCTTGAGTCATTGTGCCTGGCTGGGTTTCTCTTTTCTATCACATTGTCAGCCTGCAAATTTTCTGAACTTTAATACTCTGTATTCCTTTCAAAACTGAATGCCTTTAACAGTACCCAGTCCACCTCTTGAATGCTTTCCTGCTTAGAAATTTCTTCCACCAGACACCCCAAATCATCTCTCTCAAGTTCAAAGTTCCACAAATCTCTAGGGCAGGGGCAAAATGCTGCCAGTCTCTTTGATAAAACATAACAAGAGTCACTTTTGCTTCAGTTCCCAACAAATTCCTCATCTTCATCTGAGACCACCTCAACCTGAATTTTATTGTCCATATTGCTATCAGCATTTTTGGCAAAGCCATTCAACAAGTCTCTCAGAAGTTCCAAAGTTTCCCACATTTCCCTGTCTTCTCAGGAGCCTTTCAAACTGTTCCAACCTCTGCCTGTTACCCAGTTCCAAAGTTGCTTCCACATTTTCAGGTATCTTTTCAGCAATGCCCCACTCTACTGGTACCAATTTAGTGTATTCGTTTTTCATGCTGCTGATAAAGACATACCTGAGACTGGGAAGAAAAAGAGGTTTAATTGGACTTACAGTTCCACATGGCTGGGGAGGCCTCAGAATCATGGTGAAAGGCACTTCTTACATGGCAGTGTCAAGAGAAAATGAGGACGAAGCAAATGCGGAAACCCCTGGTAAACCCATCAGATCACGCGAGACTTATTCACTATCATGAGAATAGCACGGGGAAGATCGGCCCCCATGATTCAATTACCTTCCCCTGGGTCCCTCCCACAACATGTGGGAATTCTGGGAGATACAATTCAAGTTGAGATTTCAGTGGGAACACAACCAAACCATATCAACCACTATGTGGGAAGTACTCTTACAGCAATCCAAAATTAGTGTAAGAATTACTCTCTTGGGCTGTGGTTTTCATTTTCAATGCAATCTGATATGATTTCTGTCTTCCTAAGATTTCTCATAGTCTCTGATATTATGAAATTAAGACTGATAAAAAGAAGTGATAAAATGAGATGTTTATACACCAGTATAAAATAATGGTGGATTAGAGGTTCCATGGTGATTCTTTCTAAATAGCCCATTAAACATCCATGAAAATTACAGGAAAAGTAGCACCATAGGCTTATGCTTAAAAAAATATATATATGCTAAAACCAAGTTGGGAATTATACTGACTACTTGTTGAAACAGAATAGGCTTACAAACACAGTTTGGGGTTTCTCTCTCTCTCTTGTCTCTGTCTCTGTCTCTCTCTCTCTCACATACACACACACACACACACACACACACACACACACCCCACATGGTCTTAATACTGATTCTTCTGAATACAGGGCCTAGGGCAAAAACTAACAGGTTAATGTTGTATTGGGAGATACATTCCCAGGGAAGCAAGAGTCAAGGATATAGGAGAGTGAAGGCAGGAATGTGGAAGAGCAAACACAAGATGGTGCATTTCAGAGCTGGCCACAGCTTTGCCTCGACACACACTGTTGCTAAGTTACATAGGACATATTCAGAGAAGCGACATGGAAACCCGAGTTGGAAACAGTCAGCTGGGGAGGAGAGGGAGCAACTTATTTGCTGAATCTTTCCTGCTTTGTTTCTGCCTTTGGTCAAAGTCTTACCCTCAGGACATCCATATCCCAGAAGGTTTTTTTGTTTGTTTGTTTAACCTGGCCAATTCTCTAGGAAGCATCCAGGGAAACCCAAGCTTTATTGGCCATAAGCCAGACACTGTGTAGGCATAGGGGTCTCTTTCTGTCAGTTGGCACCAAGCAAAGGGTGCTTCAGTCTGCAGTGTTGGTATCAGCAGTGGCTATCAGAACTCTACAACTCTCGGAATAGCTTCTGCTACAGCTGATCTGGCCAAGAAACCAGGCAAGTGGCCAAGGCCTGAAGAGGCATGGCTGAATTGATCTAGAGTGGCAGGTAAGCTTGTGTCTTGCAAAAGTTTCTGAACCAGAAAGAGGGGAAAATGTCAATGAAGATAGTGAGGAATGAATTTAACTCATATCCATTCTCTGTGTATAAATCGAGAGTGGAGGAATTGAGTTGACCAGAAAGAAAACTTGGTAGTTATTACTTGCAATGGCCAGAGTTTTGCACCTACTCCAACAGTAACAATATTTTAAAATATATTCAAACAATGCAAATTTTAAGGACCAAAATGGAAAGAATAAAGGAATGGATGAAAACATTATATAGCCTATGATTCTTAACCATCATTTAAAAAATTGATTCACAGACCACTGAATTAGATTCTGGAAGTAATGGATGCTTTCACTAGGGGAATATTATCTGGAATGTTCTGGAAAAAAAGAAAGACAAAATCCAGGAATGGTTTAGGTGGTTATGTAGCATGACCAAAAGGGGAGCAGAATAATGTTGAGCAATATGACGTAAATGGATGTCATTTTGCTCCCCCATATAAAGCTAGGTATTATGGCAGAGCAATAGCTTCATATAAGGTTAAAGTCTGAAAGGGATAAGCTATAAACATCAAAACAAAAAGTGAGAAGAGCTATGCAACTTTACTTTTCCTTCTGCTTTTTTGCAAATAGGAGACAAATAAATCTCCCCATACAATGCTGAGAAAGAATAGGACAGAAAACACAGTTTGATAATATTGAAACATAATTGAAAGGGAGCATCATCTTGAAAACTCACAAAAAATATATTTCAAGCAATTTTTTTAAAAATCATAAGCTTTATTTTTTAGAGCAGTTTTAGGTTTACAGCGAAATTGAAAAGAAGTATGGAGTTCCCACATACCATTCCCCTATTTTTCCCCGCTGTTATCCCCCACCAGAATGGTACATTTGTTATAACTGATGTACCTACATTAACATATAATTATCACACAAAGTCTATAATTTACATTAAGATTTATTCTTGGTAGTGTACATGCTATGGGTTTTTAACAATGTATAATGATGTATAATGATACCAGTACTGTAGTATCATACAGAATAGTTTCATTGCCCTCAAAATGATCTGTGTTCCACTCATATAATCCTCCCTCTCACAACTCTTAACAATCCCTAATCTTTTTACCTTCTGCATAGTTTTCCAGAATGTCAAATAGTTGCAGTCACACAGTAAGCAGCCTTTTCAGATTGGCTTCTTTCATTTAGTAATATGCCTTGAAGTTTTCTGTGTCTTTTCATGGTTTGATAGCTCATCTCTTTTTGGACTAAATACTTGAATAATATTCAATTGTGTGGATGTACAACAGTTTATTTGTCCATTTACCTACTGAAGGATATATTGGTTGCTTTTAGTTTTTGGAAATTATAAATAAAGCTGCTTTAAATATCTGTATGCAAGTTTTTGTTTGGATATATGTTTCAACCATTTTGGCAAATACCAGAGTGTGATTGCTGGATCATATGATAAGAGTATATTTAGTTTTTGTAAGAAACTATCAAATTGTCTTCCAAAGTGGCTGTAACATATTGCCATCCTACCAGGAATGAATGGGAGTTCCTGTTGCTCCTTATCATTGCCAGTATTTGGTGTTGTCATTGTTAGAGGTTTTGGCCATTCTAATTGGTATGCAGTAGTGTCTCATTGTTGTTTTAATTTTAAATTCCCTAATGATATATGATGTTGAAAATATTTTTATATACTTACTTGCCATCTATATATCTTTGATGAGGTACATAATTAGGTATTTGCTCATTTTTTAATCTGAGTGTTTATTTTATCATTGAGATTTAATAGTTCTTTCTATATTTTGGGTAACTGTCCTTTATCAGATATGTCTTTTGCAAATCTTTCCTCCCAGTCTGTAGTTTGTATTCTCATTCTCTTGAGATGTCTTTTGTAGAGCAAAAGTTCTTAATTTTATGGAAGTCCAGCTAAACAATACGTTTTACAATAAAAATATTTTAGAGGATGTGTTCTTGTCACAAAATAATAAAATTACAGTGTTGCAACAAGTAGAAGCAAGGGTATTTGACCATAGGACTTAAAAAATAAAAAAATAAATAGTTGATTGAAATTAGTTAAATTATCCCACTACTCTCATACTTTTAGACTGCTACTCTAGATCATTCAATTACAGAAAACAGGACTTTGAAAGAGAAACTATTTAGAAATATTACCTATTTTAATTATACTCCTGCTTATGACTGGAGACGTCAATTATAAAATCAATTTACTTCACATATGAAAGGATATGTAAAAGACCAACTCACTAACTTTGGACTTCAGTTATTCTTACAATGAATAATAGCTCTACCATCTCCATTTAGTACTTTCATGGCTAGGTATACAGATATTTGTTTTTCACATAGAATAAACTGCTCATAAAGTAAGAATTTGGTACAAAGGCCGAAAACTTAAACATGAGGATTTTCTGAACTGTTTTGCATTTAAACTTTTGACTAAGAGTAATGTGATTCACTTGTTTTTTGTGCTATTCGGCAAAGTTCACTTTCCATTATAAATTGGAAGACATCAAAAAAGTTTTGTCAACAAACTTCTGGATTGTATAACTGTTTTTCCTCTAACTTCAACTTCACTTTATCTTAAGGCTACTTTAAAAAGATAAAAACAAAACATTAGAAAATCAAGAAATCTCCAAACATTGGTTTTGATTTCTTATAAAAAATATGTTGCTGATTAGAGAAATCAATTCACTCTGATGAGAACCTGATCTGTACCAGGACCAATCTCTTGATCTTTATTCTACTCGTCAGAAGTACAAAAAAGTGGGTAATAGGCTGAAAGTAGTTATGTAGGATTTTGGGACATTTTAACAATGTGCTTTTATGTGGGAGTTGGGTTATCAAAGGTAAACAAACTTGGTATGCGACTTAACATGGTAGTGATAGAGATAAATCCCAGTTTTGATGTCAGTTGTGTTTACTGTTGTCATTAACTAGAGACTAATTCAAAAAAAAAGTGAATATTTTGAGTGAAACTAAGAGGTAGATCTTTAGACTCCACCATTATATATTTTCTCATTTTGTATGATTATTCAGCAAGTGAAGGAAATATTATTCAAGTATATTGTGGAAGCTATGAAAGCTCGCATGTGCGTTTCCCTATGAAGAAGCACATATATTTTCCATAAAGATCCATCAGCCTAACATTTTATCAACTTAAGCCCTGTGCAATATGATTCATATTTCTTCTGCATATTCCATTAGAATGAGATTGTAAGGAGTTTTTCTTTTATTAATAATTTTGTTTCTCAAATTTTTTCATATTGCTTTTGGGGATTTATGGAACAAAGGGAGAATCATATACATTCATTCTGGTTTGTGATCTCATTAGATGTCTGCCTTGTAATACAGGCCTCTATTTTTGGGATACATTGAAGGACAGCCAGTCAATTAGACTTTCATACTAGAAAGTAAAGGGGAGTCGCAAATGTGTCAAAGTAATGTAGAAATTCATTGCATAGAATGGTATAAATAAAATCAAATTGTATAAACATTTGTTTTTCCAAGGCGGAAAATTAAGCTTATGCCAGAGGAAGAGGGTTGTTTTTATCTCTAATGTCCTGTGCGAAGGTGTTAGAGAAATGGACTTAGTGTCTCCATTATTAAGGTTTCAGGAAAGAAAGAGCTGAGGAAAGTTTGAAAGCATAAAATTCTCTATTAATACATATGTTTAATTAGGAAAATTTATTCACATTGTAGATAAAACATAGACGAGAATTAGGTCCCTTTGGTTCTATAGAGTGTTTTTCTATGCCAAAAGGAAGGAATGGATCTTGTCATTCAATAGAATGGTAACTCTCATAATATATGACCATTTTCATTATCATCATTCCCCTGAGGCCAAATCTCCATTATGTTCATTAACCAAAAAATCTTTGTTTAATGTTCTTTTTTATGTTTCATAGTAGAATTATTATTTTTCATATTGAAATGTATTTGGAAATCATAGGTATCCACAAAATGTACAACAGTTCTAATGTAGATTCGAAAGTACAATATAGGGAAATCTCTTATTTTTAGAATGCATTATAACATATCTTTAGTTTTATTATTCATTTAACTTGCATTTGGTTGTATTTTTAACTTAAGTTTTGATTACTAAAAAGCACAGAACCTGTAACTTAAGATGTAAAAGATTTACGGTTTCTTAATTCTCCTCCTTTTACCGTTGAAGTAGCTGAAGTCAATTTTATTTTTGCGATAGTTATTGAGAGAGGGGCCCATGGCAGCACAAAGGGGGTGGAACATTCCCTCACTGCCACATAACCATTTGTTTGCTCAAGCCATTGCAAACAAAAAAGCTCTATGTCACAGCAATGACCTTGCTGTATTTCCACCTTGTAAAGATATATTTTTCTACTCCTTTCCAGAAAACCAAGTCCTAGAATTTTCCTAGAATAGAAATTCTGGAGCTACAACCGGGAGAGAATCTAAGGCTTTTAAATTATAATCATTTAGAAATGATTAACATAGATAAGCAGATTTTCTTTTGAAAACCAACTGTTTACATTATGGTATGAAACAAAAATAGACTTATTCAAAAAACTATATATTTCAGTTTTAATTGTATTAATGATATATTTACAATGTTTTCTGCATTATCAACATATCCTTGGACTACCTTCTGGAATAAACAAATGCAAATTAATATAGAAAATATACTCAATTTTATTACAAATGCTTATTCTTACAAAAAAATCGATTCAACATAAAAAGGAAGGGAATTACACTAGATTTCATTATCTTATATTGCATGTTTTTCAGACCAACGCCTGTGTTCTATGGAGTCTACTTTAGATTAGATATTGAGCAATGTACCAGTGATGACTTCC
This sequence comes from Homo sapiens, assembly GCF_000001405.40. Lineage (NCBI taxonomy): Eukaryota > Metazoa > Chordata > Mammalia > Primates > Hominidae > Homo > Homo sapiens. Next base: position 89,624,143 of record NC_000003.12, on the reverse strand, counting down.
AGAAATGTTTAGAAGTAGATATAGGTAAAATTAAGATGAACTAATTCCCTTGTAATTCTTCTAAATGAAGTCAGATCATTATACTGATAGTATTTGATGTGGTTTGGCTGTGTCCTCACCCAAATCTCATCTTGAATTGTAGCTCCAATAATTCCTATGTGTTGTAGGGGGGACATGGTGGTAGATAATTGAGTGGAAGGGGGACAGTTTCTCCCATACTGTTCTCATGGTAGTGAATAAGTCTCATGAGATCTGATGGTTTTATAAGTGGAAACTCCTTTTGCTTGGCTTTCATTCTCTCTTGTCTGACGCCATGTAAGACACGCCTTTTGCCTTTCACTATGATAGTAGGCCGCCCCAGCCATGTGGAACTGTGAGTCCATTAAACCTCTTTTTCTTTACAAATTACCCAGTCTTAGGTATGTCTTTAACAGCAACCTGAAAACAGACTAACACAGTATTATTTTCATTAAAATTATTCTCAATTGAGTTATAATTTATAAAATTCTTGGCTGGGCGCCATGGCTCATGCCTGTAATCCCAGCACTTTGGGAGGCTGAGGCAGGCAGATAACGAGATCAAGAGACCGAGACCATCCTGGCCAACATGGTGAAACCCCATCTCCACTAAAAATACAAAAATTAGCTGTGCGTGGTGGTGCACACCTGTAGTCCCAGCTACTTGGGAGGCTGAGGCAGGAGAATCATTTGGACCCGAGAGGCAGAGGTTGCAGTGAGCCGAGATGGTGCCACTGCACTCCAGCCTGGTGACAGTGAGATTCCATCTCAAAAAATAAATAAATAAATAATAAATAAATAAAAATAAATAAATAAAATTCTCTAATATTTTATATTCACAGTATAGGTTTTCATTGCAGCAGTTTATATTTTTAATCTAAAGTTGCCCCTTACATTGATTTGTACACAGTTTATTTAGAAAGTAACTTTTCATAACAGAAATTGTCAAGGACCCTTTTTTGCCTACAGTAAATTTTTCAGGATGTTAGTCCCAGACAAATTTTGTAATCTTTTGAGATTCTCTAACTTAAGCAGAAATAGCTTGTCAAATACATTCTTAAGTTATTGCAAATATTTTGTGAATATAAACATGATAGCCCAATTGATAGCTAAATCATAAGAGGGTGATTTTTTTTTTTTTTACTTTAAAGGAGCAGACCGCTTCATGACAGCCTAAGAAACAGTGAGAAAATTCCCACCCCCCCACCATCCCCCTGCCCCACCAAAAAAGAGAAAACCTTTTATGATAGCTCTTATGTAATTACTATGGGCAGAAAATGTTTATTGGTACATGCCTTAACTTTGATTATAGAACTTACCCAGGAAAAAGTTCTACCTAAAGCTCCCTACTTCATATATTTACTCACGAAAATTATAGTAGTGCCAATAATAATTATATTAAGAAGAGTTAGTTGTGTCTTGAATCCTTACAAAGAAGTGTTAAGCACTACATTAAGTGCTTAATGTATTGTCTTAATTAATATTCAAGACAACCCTATAATGTAGGTCCAGCTAGCATTTCTGCTCTGGTGAGGTGAAACTAGACCTTACAGTTTAAGCATTTTATCTCCGCCACCCTGTTAGAATGTGTCATTGCCAGGACTTGAATCCAAATGGCTCTGCCTCAGCGAGTGAGCTTCACTACCATCATACTTTCCTCCTCTCTCTAGATAACATTATATTCCCAGAAGCATTAGCCAAATCTAAAGATATTTTTCTTAGATTCTAATATTTGCCTTTATCTCTAATAACGTTCTTTTCCCACAGAAATTTTATGAGTAACTGCAATTTGGCTGAGTTAAAAGTGATATTCATTTAGTTTCCTGGGTTTAGAGACTACCACCCACTGAAGTTTCTCTCTGTTCTCCATACACATCAGCCTTTGTAGTTTCAGTAAACATTGAGAGAAACTTGTTGCTATTGTGAAATGCTGGTCTCGGCCTAGGGATATAAAAATATAAACCACAACTTTGAAATTTGTGAAGCACTGTGAGAATGAACTTGAACTTATGTACAATTAGGGTTTGGGTATATTCAAACTCTCCTGATGAACAATAAATCCACATGTGGGGTCTGATAGATGGAAAAGAAAATTGGGGTCTTGAAACAAACAAGCCAAAACCAAACACATAAATGAATATGCCAGGGTGGGTGAAACTGTGAAGCAGGGTCTAGATTGGAAGGGATTAACGGGTCCAAGTGAAATATGAGACTGCGCTTCACACTATCAGAATCCTCTAAGAAGTTTCGCTTTATTTTCTTTTTTTCTCTTAGTATAGAGGTTGTTGGGTTCTGCCACCAATTACTGTAATTCAATAGAATAAGAATCTATATATATATTTTAAACATCTCACTAATTGATTCTGATTCACAGCCAAGGTTAGGAACAACTGACATAAATGAAAGAACTGTGTTATAAAGGTACAAGAGCTTGGTTGTGATAAATACCTTTGAAAGAGCTTGTCCCAGGGCACAAAAGAAATTTATCTGTTGACCTGAGAAAAGCAGCCAGGTGAGCAGTCAAAAAAATACCTACAGCCTCAAAAAGGTGACTGATGGGCAACATGGAGGTAATTAATTTTATGTGTCAACCTGACTGGATTAAGCGATACTGAGATATCTGGTACAATGTTATTTCTGAGTAAGTCGTGAAGGTGCTTCCAGAAGAGATTAGAATTTATGTTGGTAGACTGAGCAAAGAAGATTATCCTTACCAAAGTGGGCAGATATCATTCAATCCCTTGAACACCCAACTAGAACAAAAAAGTGGAGGAAGGGCAAATTTATTCTCTCTCTTTGTGATCTGGAACATCCATCTTCTCCTGTCCTTAGACATCAGCATTCCTGGTTCTTGGGTCTTTGAACTTGAATATGGAGCTAGACCACTGGCTCCCCTTGTTCTCAGACCTTTGGGTTTGGACTGAGAACTACACCCATGGCTTTCCTACATCTCTAGGTTACAGAAAGCAGATAGTGGGATTTCTTAGCCTCTGTAATTGTGTGAGCCAATTCCTCATAATAAATCTGTGCTTGCATATCTATATCTTTCTCTATATCCTATTGGTTCTGCTTCTCTGGAGAACTCATACTATTTTAAGGCCCCAAAAGCGAATCAGCATTATGAGCAAAAGACCCATAGTATCAATGATCCAGAAGAAAAGTGAAAGCAGTAATGCTAGAAAGCTGCCTCCAGGAAGCCTGAGACCTCCACTATCTTGTTTATTTATTATGTCCAGTATTTAGAATTATATCTTGCTTATAGTAGTTGCTCAATTAGTATTTGTTAAATAAATTAGGAAATAACACTAGGGTAAAGAACCTAGAATATTTCATCACAATAACATCACAAAATATCAAATGCTAATCAAACTCTTACTTATCTACACATATACTACTCCTCAGAAACCTAAAATAGTAGATGACGAAGATATCTGATAAAGATTGGATTTTTTTGTTATTCATGCAAGTGAAAGCTCTGGGCTTTGAGATTTGTAGAACAAAACATTTAAAATATAATACATCTGTATTCACAGGTGTAGCAAGGGACATACATTTCAAATGAAAATATTTGATATGTATTTCTTCCTCTCCTTGAGATCTGTCCTAAACCACCTGGCAAATGAGAACTCTAGACAATTGTAGTTAATGCTAGACCTGTCTTCACCTAGTTGGTTAATTTAGCTTAAACCTGAGAGTATTAAAATCCATGTTTCTAAAATATGGTCTCGTTTGACTGGTTCCTTGGAGAAATATACATTTGCCAGTGTAATCATAGATGGCCAAATTCCTGGTTGGCATTTAATATCACCTGCTGCAACAAAGACGAAGCAGCTGTTCTGTCTTCATTTGTCTTTAGAACCCCAAATTAAAGGGAAATAAAATATAAAAAGTTCAAAATTAAATAGTTCTTGCATATTAGATAATTAAATACACTACCCAAAGCAAACGTGTCAAGGAAATTCTCATTTCTACTCTAAATGAAACTACATCCCTCTATTTCAAACTAAGTAAAATATCTGATTGCTGTTTCCCCAGTGTGAAGGTGAAGATGAAGTTTCTAAGTGGAGCTTTGAAAATTCCTGATGTTTATGCTAAACTTTCTACTTCTCTTGAATATATTCCTTAAGCAATCAGAGAAACTAAGAGGTTTCTTTATTCACCAGGACATATAGAACTAAAATAATTTATTAATTAATACAAAGACGTATACCTCAAAAATTTCTTTTCAGTTTCAGTATGTATAATTAGATGTGACTGCTTCTACCAATATCTTTCTGTAATTAGTATCAGACATTACACTCTCTTAATGTGTCCAGTCTACAAAGTGATTCTATGAAAGTATTTAAAATTAAAAATAAAACACAGCCTCTGAAGAAGGTGATATGTTCAGGTTTGTGATTGACAGCTTTTCTGATATGAGTAAAATGAAATCATTTGCTCCAAATGCAATATTAATTATCAAATTATAAACTTCAATTTTTCTACCTTAAAAATATTTGTGTATATAACATCAGTATCTTTTCTTGCCAGCTCTCAGATTTTTTCAATATTTTGTGAAAGGTTTTACTTAATGAAACTCAGTCTTGCCAGACAGAAACTCCATGAGGCTAATGCCACTTTTTCAAAATGGCATGACAGAAGTGCAGAAAATTTCTATTATGCATGAGATTTAACTGTCATATGATAGAAAGTAAGACAGACACAACTCAGTTTTTCAACATATGAAACTATCATCAAGCTCTCAAACCCATCTTGAAGAGCATTTCCGCCTGATTTAAAGTGAGTATAATGACTATTACTTTAATAAAAATAACTTAGACTAAAATATCATAATCTCTCTTAGATTTGGAAGTTTTTTCTCATTTGTTTTAATAATTGGAAATCATCATTTAGATTTAACCTTTTTTTAGTCTAACATTTACCTTATAAAGCTAGTATGTTAGAGGAAATAAGAATTGTTCTCATGAATTGTTCTCATGAACAATTCTTAGTTCTAAATATAAAACTATATTTTAAAATATTATAAGAATCATTAGCAAAAGGGTAGGTATTTTAAACAGATCATATGGGATGAATTGTTTTACTATGTGTAAAAGGTGAAATTAGATATCTCCCTCACACTAGTCCTAAAACTGCAAAAATAAATTCCAGATTGATTAAAGCCTTTAATGTAAAAAATATATTGTAAAGAAATATTTAATATATTCATGGATTTTTAAAGTGCTACTAAAAAGCTGTATTCCATGAGTCTAGCAAGTCCATAGCTTTTCTGTCTAGTATGAGTCCATTTATTCTGATTAAATTTAGTAAAATTTTTAACAATGTTGTATTTTAAAGAATCTGATTTCTAGACACCCATAAAGTCAGGGATGGAGCTGAGTGCTTAACAAGATGCAGCCTTTATTTAAATTATCTATTATTATAAAAAATGCATTATCAGGTATAAACAAGGAAAATAAGGCAAAAACCCACATCTCAAACTGATTCTTTTCTTATTGCCATGTTCAGCATTGACATGATAGAAATGACTGCCAGTATCTGTTGACCAGCAAGTCAAAATGATATTCTTTCAAGTTACTTTAAGAATATCTGTTTTATGATAATAAGATGTTAAAGTGATACAGTCTCAACTAGTGGATGGTGATGGTGGAAAGTGGGGTTTGGCAATCTAGACACAAAAATGTTCGAAGACTAGATGCTGGAAGCAAAGCTAGTTTGGATGCGGGAACACATGTGGTGTGGTTTCTCAGATACTAGTCATCTACTCCTTACACGATGCTCGTTCCCCAACATGTTTATCAGTTGAGAGGAGATGTTACAGGTATGAGTGGTAGGAGCAGATGCATAAAAATATAAAGGCAAAAAGGGGTGAGAGGGAGAAAGATCAGTGTTAAAACTGAATGCATACTGCTGAATCCATACATGCTTATTTAACATTTTGTTTGTGGATAGTCAGGAAAATAAGAAAAATAATTAAAAATATCAAAAAGAAAATAAATGCACAATATTGATTATTAAGGTAATCTATGGGAAATTCTGGGAAGCTGATTACCTGCAGGAAGCTCCTTTTCACTTTATTCCTACATATAATGAGTTGTCCTCACCATAGAGCAGGAAGCAAGTGAGACTAGAGCTTTTCTTCCTTGTGAGCTGGGCAAGCCTGAACATGAGCCTCACGGAGGGGCAGGCATCTCTGCAAAGACCTAGAAATTACTGGAGGCAAGGATGACATCTGTTCCTTGTTAAGTGTGCTGGATTTTTGGCCCCAAGTGGCCAAGCAGAAGCTGAAGGGATGAGGTAAATCCTCTGACACCCTGAAGCTGGACAAGGATCCTCTTTAGTGGTACAGCAATCTGCCTGTTTCTATATCACTGCCTACTTCCACCACTTGTAGTATGGAAGACAATTGAGATAGTCCAACAACTAGCTTGAGTGAGATGATAAGGAAAATTGACATCTTATCTGAAGGGCCCAGCAACTAAAGGAAAAAGTGCAGTCAGAACAAACACAGCACATGTTCAGCCAAATAGAGATAAAGAGAAGAAACAAACTGAATAAGAAATGAATTGTATATATATTACATAGTATATGAATTATATATGTACTACATATACAATGAATGAATTATATATATACTATATATGTAGTATATTATATACATATGATATATATAATAAGATATATAATTTATGTATATGAGTTTTTAAGGAAATTGAGGCCCAGCCCAAAAATGACTTCAAGACTTCTGAAAAAATGCTTTCCCAATAGCAGCAATAACAATAAGATGATCAGTAGCTATACTGAAGGAAAGAAAATAGATTCAAACTCAAATTCGAGGTTTTAGAAGATATCTCAGAGCATAGAACAAAAGCACAAGATAATGAAGGAAAAAAATGTAGACTTGAAGGACATAGTCTAGTGAAATTATATATGAAAGAACAGAAGTTCTGGAAAGTGAAATATAAACTGATGATGGAAGGACAAAAATTGGGCAATTAGAAGAAATTTTTCCTGACCTGAAGAAAGGCTTCCCTTTGACAAAGCTCAAATTCAAAGATGAAGAGATCAGAATGGACACACAAAACCAGGTATTTCCTGATAAAACCTCTGAACGCTAAGAAGCAAGACAATCATAACTTGTAAGATTCAAAGCAGAAAGAAGAAGGTACCTACAAAGGAAAAACATTATCTGCAACCCTGTATTTAGAAAAACATAGAACAGCACCTGCACGATGCTGAACAGAGAGGGCAGTGAAATAGAAGTACTGTTCTCAGCTAAGTTATCATTTGGCATATTTATTTAATGATAACCAGAAACTTAGGGAGTTTATTATCCATCGACATTCTCTCAGGAAAAAGTGTCAAGAAAAGCAACAGTGTCATTCAGGGCTCTTATTGTTAAGGATAGAATATATCCTGGAAGTTTAAACAGGAAAAATAATTTATTAAAGGGTATTTGAGGGGTCAAAGAATTTCCAAGAAACTGAGATTGTCAGGCTTATATACTATGTACTATTTTTTTTTTCAGGGATTAGCCTAGGGGGAAAAAAATTAAAATTTCATTTATTATCCGGTAAATTGTGTATAGAAATGAAGTGAAAGGCCTGTACAAAAATATAATAGCTAATGGGAAAGGTTACCTCTGGGAATAAAAGAAAGAGTGAAAATAGAAGAGGAAAGTGAATGATCTTACTTTGCTCTATAAATATGGATACTTGATTTTATAACCAAGATGTTCAAATGTTGTATTATAACAACATAAAGTATAGTAAAATTTTCTATTCATGATTTCAAAAAAGAGAAAATAAGATAAAAATGAACACAATATTAGACACTTGTTTTGCCTGTTGTGACATTCATGGCTTTTACTTATATTAAAAAGTGGAACTTCTAAGCAAGGTATTTAGCTTGGTCTAACAAAGCAAGAGGCTGTCAGGTAGATTTGATCAGTGTGACTTAAAACGTCCTGTGTATTAATATTTGAGAGATAAAAAGTTACATGTGATGTTACCTTAACTTGGCTGTCTTCTGCACAGGCTAGAAAAAAGCACTGACATTGTTTTAAAAGAAAATACATCCACTACTATGCCAAGGTCATTACGACTTAATTGCTTCAGATTTCAATCAGCGATTTATTAAATATGAATACCCTTTAGGGAGAAATGTATAAAAACCTGAGATCTGTGTGTAAACTATATCTTGTGATTTGTATAACAAAATATTTCACCAGCGTCTTTGTAAAATACATGAGTACCCATGAGGCCAAGAACCAAAACACATTCCTCATTTTGCAGAATTTATAGAGATAATAAATAAAATGTAGTGGAAATGTGGCCGCATTATATTTTAGACTGAATTTATTTATTTCTCACTTTTTAGTTTTGCTGATCTTTCAATTAAAATGTTGTTAAATGTGTAAGGTGATTTCTTAGGAAAACAAAAGAAAAACCCTTAAAATTCTGTAATATGATATTATTGGCTCTCTTTCTTTGTGGACAGAGCAAGTCACCTTGGAAGATAACTTTTTTGTTCAGAGAAGAATCACTGGAATGGTCCTTTTAAGGTATGTAAATAAAGCACAGATAAGCAGCAATTGTGTTTGGAGAACTGTGTAGTAAGACGATTGTGACCTTGAATTTCTCCCAAAGGTCCTTGGAATGCAGAGCTGCTCAGAAGGTAGGAGGTAGAGATATTTGAATTGGGGTAAATAAACTTTCTAAAGGGAAAGGATTAAGACCATAATCCTTTTCTTTCCCTTTCCTTTTTCCTTTCCTTTCCATTCCTTTCCTTTCCTTTCCTTTCCTTTCCTTTCCTTTCCTTTCCTTTCCTTTCCTTTCCTTTCCTTTCCCTTCCCTTCCCTTCCTTTCCTTCCCTTTCCTTTCCTTTCCTTTCGTCATTTCCTTTCTTTCTTTCTTTCTTTCTTTCTTTCTTTCTTTCTTTCTTTCTTTCTTTCTTTCTTTTTCTTTCTTTCTTTCTTTTTTTTTTGATGGAGTCTCACTCTGTTGCCCAGGCTGGAGTGCAGTGGTGCGATCTTGGCTCACTACAAGCTCTGCCTTCCGGGTTCCAGCAATTCTCCTGCCTCAGCCTCCCAAGTAGCTGGGACTACAGGCACATGCCACCATACCTGGCTAATTTTTTGTATTTTTAGTAGAGATGGGGTTTCACCTTGTTAGCCAGGATGGTCTCAATCTCATGACCTCATGATCTGCCTGCCTCAGCCTCCCAAAGTGCTAAGATTACAGGCATGAGCCACCGCATCCAGCCCATAATCTTTTTCTTTTGAGATTTAATATAATTAAAATTTTTCTCACAGAGGGTCATTGATCAAACTGATGTTGTTTGGAAGGAAATTTATTGAGGACACCCAAAAAGCTCAACATGAGAGAGAAGGAATCTGCATTGCTAACTCAGGCTCACCACTAGCGCTGGACATTTTAATTGGAAAGTCTAGTCTCAGGAAATATGTCACTATAGCTGGCAGTCTTTTCTAGAGTCAATTTCACTGCTGTGGGAGTATAAGCTGAGCATTTGAGAGTGAAATGTAATGAGCTATAACATTGAAACCCAATGCCAGGATTGGTGTAGTGATCTGGGTCACCAGGAGTAGAACTCCTGCTATGAACAGGTATTCCACAGAATGTGTGGGAGTAGTGTTCAATAGCAGTATTATAGGCTAAGAACAAAAGCAGAAGTGCCAGTGTCTAATCAGCTGCCATACAAAATACCATAGACTAGGTGGATGTAATGACAGGAATTTATTTTTCCAACGTTCTGGAGTCTGGAAGTTTGAGGTTAGGATGCCAGCATGGTGTGGTGAGGGGTCTCTTCTGGGCTTGCAGACAGCTTCCTCCTTGCTATGTCCTCACACTGCAGAGAGAGAAAGATTGGGTTGAAAAGGAGGAAGGCAAGGAGGGAGGGAGGGGGAGAGAGAGAGATAGTGTGTGTGTGTTTCTTCTTATAAGGATACTAAATCCCATCGTTAGAGAGCCACCCTCATGACCTTATCTGAACCTATTATCTCCCAAAGGCCCCATCTTCATCTCCTAATGGCATCACATTGAGGCTTGGAGCTTCAACATTTGAATTTTGGGATGACACAATTCAGTGCATAGCAACCAGGAATTGAGCAGACTTTGCCTGTTTCTTCATGTGTATTTTGTGAATAACAACGTTCCTCTTTACTGAGTAAACCTCTGGTTTTAATGAAATATCAGCTAAGGTTCTAGAGACATTTTGGTCTTCCAACTAATCAGAAAGGAGAGTTTCCAAGAAATTAATTGGAATTAAAAGCAGTGTGAACAATCGTAATGGCTGCGTGAGGAGCTCCATGTACCCACTCCCCAGCAAACAACAATAAATGTGGAAAATTAATAAAACTGCAATCAGTTAAAGTCTGAAAATTGTACTATGAGCAAACAGCACACAGACACTTTATTCAAGAAAAATTATTAAATTAGGTAAGAATGAGTCTGTGGCCTTTCAGAAAGAACCTGCTCCCTCCCTCTCACTCCCTAGCACAGCCTGACAGAAGCTCCATTCCTAGTGGGTGTGGCCAAGAAGTTCAGGTTCCTTCTTCCTTTAGCTCCCAGTCAAGGGCTGCAGTATCTTCACAAGAAAGGCAGCTGCCAGCATTTCTCACCCACTCTCCAGTTCTGTGTTACAGAGGCTGATTCTGGGAGAATGCAGCCAAGAGCTTGGGTTTCCCTTCCTCCACCCAGCCACAACTCACAGGACAGAGGCTTTAATTCAGGCATGGCAGACTGAGAATTCTGAGAGGTCTGTTGCTTTCACCTGAGCTTACTAATAACGTAAAGATTCCTTGCATTCCAGAAAAAGCAAGCCAAGAAGACCAGAGGCTACCACTGATGCTGAATGACCATCTCATAAACCACTCATGTCATTCTGAGGGAAGCAGGCCCATGTCCTTACTCCCATCTCTGGAGCAGTAGCTTAGAGATTTGCTAAGGGAGTAAGGCAGGCATACAAATTATAGGTTGAAAAAGTACAGTAAATGAAATAAAAAATAGAGTAGTAGATTAGAACTAAAAGATGAAACATTCAGCAAACATGAAACTAGGTTGCAAGAAATTATGCAATCTAAAGAACTGAGATAAAAGAATAAAGAAAGTGAATAATGCTACAGAGGAATATAGGACATCATTTACCACCATCATACGCCTAATAGGACTACTAGGAGAAGAGATAAGAGAGAAAGCAATAGAAAAACTACTTAATGAACTAATGGTTAAAAACTTTTCAAATTTGATGTAAAACATGAATCTATATATTCAAAAATCTCCAAAATCTCCAAGGGCCAAACCATCAGAAAATTATGATTATAAACATACATGCACCAAACATAGCCTCAGGATACATGAAATGAAGACTAGAAATAGAAGGGAAATTCCTCAACCCAATAAAGGACAGCTGAGAAAAATCCACAGCCAACATCACGGTGAAAGATTAAATGTCATCCACCTAAAATCAGGAAAAAGACAAGATTCTCCATTCCTGTCACTTCTATTCAAAACTTTACTGGATATTTTATCCAGTACAGTTCGATTAGAAGGAGAAAAAAAGGAAGGAAGGAAGGAAGGAAGGGAGGGAGGGAGGGAGGGACAGAGGGAGGGAGGGATGGTGAGAATCAGAGTGAGAGAGAAAGAGAGAGAAGGAAGGAGGGAGAAAAAAAAGAAGGAAGGAAGGAAAGGAGGGAAGGAAGGAAGGGAGGAAAGGAGGGAGGGAAGGAAGGAAGGAAGGAAGGAAGGAAGGAAGGAAGGAAGGAAGGGAAGGAAGGAAGGAAAGAAGGAAGGAAGGAAGGAAAGAAGGAAGGAAGGAAAGGAGGGAAGGAAGGAAGAGAGGGAGAGAGGGAAGGAGAGAGGGAGGGAGGGGATGGTGAGAGGTAGAGAGAGAGAAACAGAAGGAAGGAGGGAGAAAAAGAGAAGAGGAAGGAAGAAAGGGAGGGAGGGAGGGAAGGAAGGAGGGAGGGGACATTGAGAAGCAGAGACAGAGAAAGAGAGAGAGAAGGAAAGAGGGAGAAAAAGAGAAGGGAGGAAGGAATGAAGGAAGGCGGGAAGGGAGGGAGAGAGAGAGGGAGGGAGGGAGGAAGGAAGGAAGGAAGGAAGGAAGGAAGGAAGGAAGGAAGGAAGGAAGGAAGGGAGGGGCACCCAGACTAGAGGAAAGATGTAAACTATCTCTGTTTTGAAATTATAATATTTTGTATCTAGGAGTTTTTAGAGTCCTCTAGAATGTTATGGGAGTAAGTGAACCAATTTAGCAAGTTCTCAGGAAATAAGATCAATATACAAAAAATTGTATTGCTATACATTAGCAATGAAAAATCCTTAAACTTAGGGAAATAATTTCACTTGCAATAGTAGAAAATATAATAAAATACTTAGGAATACATCTAACAGAATACGTTCAAAAATAAACCACAAAAATAAAATATTAATAAGTACTGAAATACTTAAGTAAATGGAAACACCTCTCACATTAATGGATTGGCAGACTTAATATTATTATAATGAGAATCTCTTCAAAGTGATCTATATATTTAATAAACTTTATTAAAATCCCAGGTATTGTTTAAAAACTTCACAGAAAATTTATTTGCAGAAATTGACAAGCTAACTCTAAAATTTTCACGGAAATTCAAGGAACCCAGAAAAACTAACATGATCTTGACAAAGAACAACAAATTTGGAAGACTCACACTTTCTATATCAAAGCTTGCTACAAAGCTACAGGAATGAAAACATTGTGAGACTGTCATGAAAAAAGATATTATAGATCAATGAAATAGAATTTAGGTTGTAGAACCATACTGTTATATTTATGATCAATCGATTTTCAACAAAAGAGTTGAGAAAATTCAATGAGAAAACAGTAGTCTTTTCAAAAAATGGTGCTGGGACAACTGGTTATTCACATGCAATAGAAAGAAGTTGGACTCCTTCCTTGCTATATATGTGTGTATATATATATATATATATATATATATATATACACACACACACACACACACGCACACACATATGTATATATACATACATATGTGTGTATATATGCATACATACATATGTGTGTATATATGCATACATACATATGTGTGTATATATGCATACATACATATGTGTGTATATATGCATACATACATATGTGTGTATATATGCATACATACATATGTGTGTATATATGCATACATACATATGTGTGTATATATGCATACATACATATGTGTGTATATGCATACATACATATGTGTGTTTATGCATACATACGTATGTGTGTATATGCATATATACGTATGTGTGTGTATACATATATACGTATGTGTGTGTATATATACATATATACGTGTGTGTGTACATATATATGTGTGTGTGTGTATATACATGTATATGTGTATATATATATCTCAAGTGGGTCATAAACCTAAATGTAAAAGCTAAAGTTTTAAAAATATTCAATGCAAATGCAGGAAGACTGTAACCCTGGATGAGAGATAGCCTTCTTAGATGTAAGAAAAAATAACAAATGACAAAAGTAAAAATAAATTAGAATCAAAATGAAAGGCTTCTGTTCTTCAATGGATACCATAAGGAGAGTTAAACGACAACTGATAGAATGGGAGAAAATATTTACAAATCATGTTTCTAATAAGGGACTTGTGTACAGGATATACACAGAATACTACCACTCAATGCTAAAAGGATAAATATCCCAATTGAAAATTAACAAAGGATATGAAAAGACATTTCTCCAGAGATATATGAATGACCAATAAACACACGAAATGTTGCCCAAAGTCTTTAGTTATTAAGGAAATGCAAACTGCAATGAAGTACTACTTCACTTCTAGTAGGATGATTATAATAAAAAGTTATGGCAGGAGATGGAGAAATTGTCACCCCTTTATAATGATTAGTGGGAATGTAAAATGGTACAGATACTTTGGAAAACAGTATGGCAGTTTATCTAAAGGTTAAGCATAGAGTTATTATATGAGCCAGAAGTTAGGTATATACAAGAGGGATGAAACCATAAGTCTACACAAAACTTGTACAAGAATGTTCATAGCAGCATTATTCTGAATGGCCAAAACGTGGAAACAAACAATCCAAATTTCCATCAACTGATGAAGGAATAAACAAAACGTGTTATATCCATACAATGGAATATTATTTGGCAATTAAAAGGAATAAAGCATTGATATATGCTAAATCTGTCTGAATCTTAAAAAACATTATGTTAATTGAAAGAAGACAGTCACAGAAGTCATATTGTCTGAGTCCATTTATATGAAATGTCCACAATAGGCAAATACACAGAAACACAAAATGGATTAATGGTTGCCTACAAGGTTGCATTGGGACAAATGAGGAGGGATTGCTAATGGATATCAGCATGGTGAAAATACTCTAAAATTAAATGTGACAATGATTGCACAGCTCTGTAGACATATCCTAAACAACTGAATTTTACTACCTAAATGGGTGAATGTTACGGCATGTGAATTATATTGTGATAAACCGTTATATGTTAAAAACAAAAAAGTGCATTTGCTTACTAGGAAAGTTAATGAAAAGGCCTGTACAAGTTGTACATGGCATGTTTTTTTCCATGTTGCCTTTTCTTATAATTTATCCTTTCCATGGTGAATGAAAATCATCTCTTTGGAGAGTGTTTAAAGATATATGGTGTTTGCCATGTTACCCAGATTTCCTTGCATTGGGTTGGGCCTGTGCCTTATTTTTATTTTTATTTTTTTGACAAATGGCAATCAGCAAAATCTTTCACTTCTTGGCCAAAGCATTTATAGGAAAGTCTAAGTCTCCCATCCTCTCTGTCTTTGACGTGGAGCCACGGAATTAATGAAGTCACTATCTAGAAGAGGGCTTCCCTCTCTCATCAATTTTTGTGTAAGGAAAAACAAACTTTTTATTGTGTTCAACCAACCACTGAGCTATTATAAATTGTTACTGCTGCATACCTCACACTAATCTGGTTTCTTAGAGCCAGTGTCACTTAACTATAAGTACAAGGAAATGAATTTTTTGGATTTAGATGTAGTTTTTTAGGTATGTACTTTAAGTATGTTTGAGTAATTATCCATTATACATTTAATAGAGGATATTTTAAAAGTAACAACATGAAACACTGCATGTTGATTAAATTATGATAGTCGAAGTAAGTTTCTCAGTGCCCCTGTGGGTGATAGGTGGCACATTCATATTAGAAAATTTGAAAAAAGTATAACAAGAATGTGTAGTTATGGTGTACGAAAACCACAATGGATAGAAGCCAGGGGGAGTGTAAGTGTGGCATCATTTCTATCTCTGGTAAGGAAGACACAGGTCAAGAGACAGTTACCCTATACTAGAGAAAGAACTCTCTGGGGATTTTTGCTCAAATGAAACAGTTAAAATTGGGGGATAAAGCCAGCCCAAAGCAACATGACATGAAGAGAACTGGAGTAGTGAGCCCACTGAAATCCTTGTTTTTTCTTCTTAAATCCCCTGCCATTGCCACCTAATAATTGAGGGAACCTAACTAGAAGTCCTCAAGGTGGAGGATTACTTCTGTGGTCCATAAAGGTCATTCACAAAGCATACAGTCAGATGCAGAAGGGTAAGCTGGATCTGGAGATGCTCATGTTTAAGAACTGGAGCCTGTGAAGATTTTGTGGCTAAAATTTCACTAAATTACAGGAGTTGCATGGTACAGAGAAGGAAGCATTGACACTTATGTGATTCTCAAACTTTAGCTTAAATCAGAATCACCTGGAAGAATAAAATATAGATTGCAGGACCAGCTCCCAAAGTTTGTGATCAGTAAATCTGGGGTGGAGCCACAAAATTTGCATCTCTAACAAATTTTCAGAGGTTACTAATGGTTATTGGCCAGGGGGACCACACTTTGAACATGACAAACTATAGAATCAGAATAATCAGGTTTTAAATCCTGACTTTGCTTTTTAGTAGCTTGAAACTGTCAGTGAGTCTTCCGACTTCTCTGATGTTCAGAGATTTTATTTATTCAAATATTCAGATTAGTCCTTTATTAATTAATTCACCTAATTTTTAAAAGAGAGTGTTTGTGTTTATCTTGAATGACTTTGTAGACATTATTATAAAATTGCATGAGAAAATAAATTCCTAGCACATTTTTTGGCACTTGATAAATATGAATACGCAGTACTTGCTTCTATTCTGAGATGCTTTAAATAATCAATTAAATTTATTGAGTCACAAATGAAAATCTAATGGAAATGTATAAGAAGCTATATCTAATACTCTAAAGTAATGATAAAAGTATATATTTACTTATGAAACTTAAATTATTTGTGCACATAATTCTTACATAAAGTAGCAAATGTATATATAATAGCTATATGATATTTTGTGCATATTAACTCTATATGCACAAAATATACTGCAGCCATGTTTTAATTATCTGTTGACAAATGACTCTCATATTTTACTTGGAGGCAAATGGTAAATGAAATTAATACTAATTTGCTGTATTACTAATTAGTAACAGGCAATAATGGATCACCCATTGTAACAGGCTAGTAACGTTTCATTTATACTATACCCTCTGGGAAATTAAATGTTCAGAATCAGTAAAACTTTCCAGATAATTAATGTTTAATTCCCTGAAATAAAATATTTACTCTTCATCATGGCTTTGTAAAACACTCTGAGATGTGTAGCCTTTTAATTTTTTTATTTTAATTTTTAAAAATGATTATATCAAGTTAGGAACATTAGTGTTCCACCATGCTTGAATATCAGGATGCGTGCATGGGCCTTTGAGGAAAATTGGACTTAATGTCCCCTTTGTTCATTTTGCCATAGCTATTTTTTGCTTTTCTATGTCTTTTGTCCAATAGTAGGGCAAACTCTAGAATATGTAATATAACTGCTTACTCACAATGGTCCCATGTTGTTTTGTCTTCATATTTGCAGCTCTTCTTGTAGTCCTGCGGTCACTTTTTGCAGTAATGTGTCCACTCACTTATCACTATCCCTCACAGGCTCTGGTGTATACTCTACAACTAGGGAATATCTGGAAACCAAGAGGTTGTTTTCAACAGAATTAAATATATTCTGTGTCACAGGTGTAATACAGGAATGAGGGCTGAAAATTCTGATTTGGAAACGGTGATGTTATGATTTAGTTATTTACTTATAGGCTTAAGACTATTCCAAGATGATATTGCCTGGAGTAATGACTGCCAAAGAAGATGTGGTTTTTTTTTTTAATTATACGATTTAGTTGTTTTGTATATAATTATGTCACAATGTGTTATTAACTATTATTTATTTAAATTTTAGAACATTTGAATTTGCATAGCAACTATTTCTGACTTCCTGCCTTTGTTTCTCTCTGGCTCCCACAAGTCTTTGCCTGTAAGTCCCACAAGATGAGGTACTCTGGCTCTCCAGTTTTTTGCGGTATACCCACCCCCTGGAATAGTAGCTCTCAACCCCAGATAGTGGATATAATTTGTTGAATGTCACTCGCCTTGCATTTTATAATCACCTGTGTTCTGGGCTAAGATATTTTGATACAAGAGTTCCAGATAGGGGCCAGGTTTGGGGATTTTATTTATTTATTTATTTATTTATTTATTTATTTATTTTTGAAGCAGGGTCTCCCTCTGTCACCCAGGCTGGAGTGCCATGGGATGATCATAGCTCACTGCAGCCTTGAACTCCTGGGCTCAAGTGATCCTCCCACTTCGGCTTCCTGAAGTGCTGTGATTATAGGAGTGAGTCAGCATGGCTGGCATCTGAATGCCTCTTGTGTTAGCTCTATGATAGCATTAGAAATATAAAGATGATATGGAAAGTTACTATCTTTGAGGCATTCACAGTGATATTGAACTGGATGTAGTTTTAAGTATTTTGTATTGAAATATCATAATCACTCTCATGCATAAATATGGCATAGAATAAATAGCAATTATCCCATTCAACAACACACCTTCCATTTTTCCTGTGCTCTCTGACTTGAAGACCAGCTATGTGTGCTGCTCTGTTGTCCTGTCCAGCAATTCTTGGGTAATTCTTAATATTGCTCTTTTTCACTCTCATATCAAGTTGGTCTCCAAGTCTTATATTTTTTTAACTTCCTATTTAATGTCAGAGGATTTTTAGTTTTTAACTTTCTTTACACTACTACTGCCAAAATGAAATCTGTTATCATCTATATTCTGTTTACTGAAACAGTATCCTAACAGGTCTCCTAGCTTCCAGTTTTGATCCCCTGTAATCCATTCTCAAATTGTTCTAAAGCACAAAATTAAACATATCCGTCATTTCCATGCTTAAAAGCTCTCAGTGTCTACTCATTTTATTAAAAATCCAATTCATATCCTTATATTTTATAATGCCCTACATAATGAGTCCCTTCTTGCCCTTCTATGCTTTTTTCTTAAGTATAGTTTATTTGCTTCTCATAAGCCAGTTCTAATAAACTACATACTGTGCCCTGAAATCAACTTCTTAGTCTCTTTCTCTTTTTCTTTCTCTGTGTTTCTCTCTCTCTGGATTTATATTTTGTTATTTTCTCTGCTTATAAAGTGTATCTTCTCTTCAATCTCAACCTCATTTTACTAGTTAATACTCTTCATCCCTTAGTATTTATCTTAAACCCCAAATTCTTTAGGAAACTTTTACTGATCCCCAAGGAACATTGTTTAGCAACATTTGAATACATAACAGTGGTGATCCTTCTATTTAAATATCCTACCTTTCCTGGAGCACAATTTTAGGAGGAGGCAAGACAAGGAGAACATCTCTCTAGTTTGATCCTGCACCTGTATTCGAAATGAGAGGGAGAAGAACTCTCAAAAACTGTGCTAGGGCTCCCATTGAAATAGGGGTTATCTGGGGACCCTGGAATCTCTACAGTGAGTTTCTAATTCTCTATGTTACATCTTCTAGTCCACATTTCTGGGTCTCTTAATCTCCCTTAATTCTGTCAGCACCCCGTACATACATTCACTTGGTCTGTTTCCTATACACTCATGGCAATACATTTTTACAGGATGTAAACACTATCATTTGATTATTATCCTTCCTCCACGCTATTAAGGTGACCACTAGAGAGGACTGGTTTTATAACAAAGATGTGTAGTTCAAAAAACTAGCTTTGCATAGTCAGAAAAAAAGGAAATGGAAATCAGTATTTACCAGTCCTACCCATATGATGGTACTATGTTGTCTGCTTTGCAGATTTTACCTTTTCTAGAATACTTTAAGGTATTAAAGAATTTAATTAAGGAATGTGATTACCATACCTTAGATATGTAATTATTTAAGGTATGTGAGCTTATATCAATTTTTTTTATTATACTTTAAGTTTTAGGGTACATGTGCACATTGTGCAGGTTAGTTACATATGTATACATGTGCCATGCTGGTGCACTGCACCCACTAACTCGTCATCTAGCATTAGGTATATCTCCCAGTGCTATCCCTCCCCCCTCCCCCCACCCCACCACAGTCCCCAGAGTGTGATATTCCCCTTCCTGTGTCCATGTGATCTCATTGTTCAATTCCCACCTATGAGTGAGAATATGCGGTGTTTGGTTTTTTGTTCTTGAGATAGTTTACTGAGAATGATGATTTCCAATTTCATCCATGTCCCTACAAAAGACATGAACTCATCATTTTTTATGGATGCATAGTATTCCATGGTGTATGTGTGCCAAGTCAGTGTGGCAATTCCTCAGGGATCTAGAACTAGAAATACCATTTAACCCAGCCATCCCATTACTGGGTATATACCCAAATGACTATAAATCATGCTGCTATAAAGACACATGCACACGTATTTTTATTGCGGCATTATTCACAATAGCAAAGACTTGGAACAATGATAGACTGGATTAAGAGCTTATATCAATTTTATACATGATGATGATAAAATTAAGAATGGAAGAGATTCTGGGATTAAAACCCTTAGATGTGTTGACTTCAGTGCCTAATGGCAAATTCACATGGTGCTTCATAAAACAATAATTTTTACTGCATGTGAAATCCTTCAGACTTTATCTATCCCACAAGATATATGAGAATCTTCCCTTTGTGAAACTATTTAACATTAAGGAATTAAATCTAAAATGGACCTCTGATGGGAATTCCAGTGATAATGAGGTAAGTGGAAATTTGGTACACCATTAAGCTTTCAATGTTATGAGCAAGAAATCATGGATTTGTCTAATAATACAGTAATTATTACCAACTTTCTTTATCCATAATAAAGGAATACCTGTGTAGGAAGACTGGGTTACATTAATTATGGTATTATTTGCCTCAAAGAATAGATCCTACAATCAAACTCTTTGCTTAAGCCCTCTGTTTCTTATTGATCTCTGACAATAAGAGCAGGAGGGTTAAAAATCATAGAAACCACATGGACTGCTTTATGGAAAAAGAATGAATTCCAGTCTAATTTTGTTTCATAGAAAAATCTTTACTTTTAAGACATGTAATAAATACATTTTCATAGAATAGTATTATGTTCACCCCCCTCCCCAACACAAAAGAAGATATGTCCTCTTCTTTCTGTCTCTGTCTCTCTCTATCTGTAATTCTCTCCCTCTCTCTCTATCTGTAACTCTCTCTCTCTCTCTCTCTCTCATCACTTATTTTAGGACATTTTCCCACCATTTCTTCCCTTTCTTTCCTGCACTATTAATTTTCCTTTCTTTAAATTCCTTTCAGCATTCAAAAAATGATACTAATTCTTTCATTTTAAAACAACAACAAAAAAAACTTTTCCTCCATTTTGCCACCAGATTTCTATTTATACCATCTGTCTGTCCTTCTCTCTACAACAAAACTGGTAGAATAAGGATTCTCCAATGTACTTCCTCTCAGTTTGTCTTAAACCCACTTTTATCAGACTTACATCCCCACAACCATACTTAAGCTACACTTGTTGTCTTACCTGCATGTTCTAAAGATAATGGTCAACTCTTCAACTTCATCTTGACCTTTCACTCAAACTTTTTCCAGGTGATCCCTTTCTTTTCCTCAAATATTTTCTTCTCTTGGCTATGAAACACCACTCTCTTGTTTTTCTGCAATATCTGACCTTTCCTTCTCAGTGTCATTTGATGATTTTCCTCATCTCCCTTATCTCTAAATTTCGGAGTACCCAGAGTTCCACTTTTTGATGGACTTCTCTTTTAAATCTACATTCATTTTTTAATTATGTCATCTGATTATGGAGTTTTAAGTCCCAACTCCAGGCTGGCAATTCCCATGTCTATATTTTCTTTTATATCTACAGCTTAAACTTCTCTCCAGACTGCTAGATATTGTCTCTCAGGTGCCAACAGCCATTTCAAACTCAGAGTCCAAGTCTGAGCTTTGCATTACTCTTCACACCGAGACCCTTTTCAATGATCCTATTTCACCTAGTAGCAGCTCCATTTTTCAGTTCCTCAAAAACCCAAGAGTGATCCTTGAGTTCTCTCTTTTTTTACATCATATCTTCCAGAAAGTCCTGCTGTTTCAACTTTTGAAACATTATCAGAATTTGAGGATTGTTCATTATCTCCAACTGGTACCATTCTAGTTCAAGCTACTGTTACTTCTTGTTGGTTCAGAAGACAAAATCTGAATTGTCTAATGAATAATACTAGAATGTTTGGCTGAGCAACAATTAAAGGAGGCTGTGAGTGGGTGTGCTTCTTCTGCCCCACTTAAAGGGACTTTTCCAGAACTCAACTTTCTTAAGAAAAGCTCTACTCACCCTGACACCTGAGTGCCACTCCCCAAAAGACTTCTGGTGGCTAGTAACTGGTGTTTTTTTTTTTTTTTTTTTTTTTTTAGGGAGTTTTGCTCTTGTTGTCCAGGCTGGAGTGCAATGGCACAATCTCAGCTCACCACAACCTCCACCTCCCAGTTTCAAACGATTCTCCTGCCTCAGTCTCCCGAGTAGCTGGGATTACAGGCATGCGCCACCATGCCTGGCTAATTTTTGTATCTGTACTAGTGATGGGGTTTCTCCATGTTGGTCAGGCTGGTCTCATGTTTTTAGACAAGTTTTGAACATCTGGTTTCTAAATTTAATCAGATTAATGTCTCAATCATAACTGTTATCTACACACGAGGTTGTTCCAATGTTGAAATCTAACAAGAGGAGATCAGAGGGCAGAGAACATGCAGGTCACTGGTGACTTAACAAGAGTTGTTTAAGTGGGATTTGGGGGTAGAAATTTGACTGGAGTGAGATTAGAGAGAATGTTAGAGTTGGTTATCTATTGTTATCCCTTAGTTGAAAAATTCTCCACTGCAACCTTAATCCCATACTGAGTGAAATGTCTTTGTCCTCAACCACCTAGCTGCCTACCTGGTTACTCTACATTATCGCAATAATCTCCCGACTTTCTGCTTTCATGGAGTCCCTCCAACCACCTCTGTCTCAATCTCTTGCAGCTGGCTGAGATTAAAGCAAAGTTCTTAAAATAATTTACAAGGCTCTTTAGATCTGCCCCTTCACGACTCTTCCCCCACACTCACACTACTCCCAAATACTCTGGCTTTCTCATTGTTCACTGAGCCAGTCAGTTGCACTTCGGCTTCAAGGGCTTTACCCTTGAGGTTTTCTCCGCATGATATGCTCAGTTCCCTGAAGTCTAAATGGATTGCATCTTCATGCTTTAAGGCCCTCACCTTTTATGTCACCTTCTCAGTGAGAACCCAGTCTGAACACCTACCTGAGTTGCAATTCGACTATCACTGGCATGTTCTATCCAGAGGCCCTTTCTGTATTAATTTTCTTTTTAGAAGTAACTACTAACAAACTTTTATATTTTATTTACCACATTATTTGCTTTTCCTACTCATATGAACATGAGGATAGGAATTTGTGTGTGTTTGTTTTCTCACTGATGTATTTATAGAGATAAGGTGTTAGTAATTATTTGTTGAATGAATGAATGACCTTGTGGGGACTCGAGCCAACTTAGAGTAAATTGAACAATGTCAGATGAAAATTTGAAAAGGGCTGAGAGAATTGAACCCTCAATTTCCCTTGAAACTTCCTTACCAGCAAAATCAGACCTTCCCCCAAATCTAAGGAAACCAAATATTAATTTAAATAAACACTTTTAATTACTTAACATTAGAGGGAATTTCCTCCTGTCCTTTATAGGAAAGGATCTTAATAATGTAATAAAAAGGAAGATGGTATATAAAGTTGTTTTAGGCTAAATGTATCAATATGTGGTCTGTTACTTGAAATTTAGGAATTAAAATGTTAGCCCCAGTCCCTAGGATGGAACTTAACAGTTTGGTTTGTCCATTAATGAAAACCTGTGCTTAATAATGGCCTACAGTTAATGAGGTTAAGATGGCAGAATGTCCCTGTCATACTATATAGAGAAAA
This sequence comes from Homo sapiens, assembly GCF_000001405.40. Taxonomy (NCBI): domain Eukaryota; kingdom Metazoa; phylum Chordata; class Mammalia; order Primates; family Hominidae; genus Homo; species Homo sapiens. The sequence goes on along the minus strand of NC_000003.12, from coordinate 89,600,714 downwards.
GAGTCTGAAAGTTTAAAAATGGAAATGTTGGAGTAAATGTGTCATGTTCATCCTGCTCAGAATCCCTAACCATATGAACATTTAACTAACCTGGTGAAGAGGATGTAGTAAGTTCTCTTTATACTTTAATGAGACACATTTATACCAGAGTGCAAGCAGTAAAGCCTGAGAAAGTTTAGGGGCTGCCATATCAGTGACTTCCTCCAGTGCTTGGGGAATGTGGGGCTATTCCTCCAAAATGAAAGACAACTTAATATATCTTGTATTGCCATTTGGGAAGAAAGAAGCCAAACTGTAATACATTGGGGTTTTATTGAATTTTAAATTGTTCTGTTCTGTCTCATTTACTGGGAAATCCATAAAGCTGTCAGTTTTGAGTGAAACTCAGAGCAAGAAAAGGGTCTGCAGCAGACCAAGTAAGAGATTCAAGCTGCTCTGCCATTATACCTAATGACACAGCACAGTTAATACTGAAGACAATCTGTGTGGCAGATAGCGATGCTGAATGGGGTCTCTACCAAGCCCCAACTGAACAATTGAGTGCAAAGCCCATGCCTCTTCCTCCCGTACATACTGGGCCTGTATTATTCATAAAGTCATTATGTTGGATATTAACAGCAGCATGTCATTGTAAAATAAAAATGCTATATGTGGGACCAGCCTCCAGAGTTTTAGAATGCACAAGTAATTAACGTAAGCAGACGGCTCAAACTCCCAAATACTCTTACAGTTTCACCACTTCTTACTTAATCCACACACAGGCGCTCATACTGAGTTCTTACATACGAGTAAACTGAAAAGGAAAAAGCATAGGCCTGGCTGACAGATGTATTCGCACAGTAGTATGTTCCATCTTGCAGTGCATAGTTGCTACATTACAACCCAACTTGCAGGGAGGTAGTAGAAGACAGTGGAGAAGAGAAATCTTTTCTTAAGCAGAATGTCAAGCAGTACATCTAGTAATTCTCTTACACATACATTTTTTAAGTTGATGTATGGTATTGATCTATATTGATTCATAGGTGGTGACTAAGTCTTGTCTTGCTGGTAAATGAAATAATAATATTAGAATATTTGCAATAAGAAGGATTGGAAGATATATATGGATGGGCGTTCTAGGATGAGGAAAAAGGAAGAATTCATGTACTGACTAGATATTTTCCAGAAGTATCTATCACAGAAGTATCTATCAATAATCGGGTAGACAAGATGAACCATCCTGTTGATGTTATTCAACCTCATTCTTCAAGTATTCCATTGCTTTCTCAATAGACCCAGGTATAAAGAGGACATACAGGTAGAGATATGAGATAGGCATAGTCTCAAAAACATGAGCTTTCCCTCCTTAAGACCAATTTGGTTACGACCTGTCAACCTGTCAACAGATGTTACAATTAGATTACTCTTGATCCTTTCCCGCAGATGTGGGGTGGTAATGTGTCTTCATGGAAATAAGTATATATAAACTTGCCTTTCGTGTCTAAAATATTTTTGCCAGAACATTCATCAGTGGATTTACAGAATGCCTTATTTATCACCATGTTATCTTGCACATCATAGTCCAAACAGAAAACTTATTTTGCAGTCGCAGAAATACAACAAGGAGCTCATGTGCAAGGGATTCACTGGTTTTAAAACAATTTCTCACTCAGAGGAGAAAAAGTTGATAAAAGAGTGTATTAGCCCACTGAAGTTTCACTTACATCCTGCACTTACTTACACTGTACTCTATGATTCCAATCTCTCTTTAGCCAGTACAAATTTAGGAACCAAGAAGAAGACAGGCTTCTTTTACTGATGTATTGAATAATCTACTGAGAAAATTTACTGCTAATCCCTGCAGCCTTGGGCTTTGTGGGTTTGGAGGTATAAATGGCCTAAAGGAGGTGCACATATATTATAGTCATGGTTCCATTACATGGGAAGCTGAAACCACAGCCTGCCTATCTGGGGCTTCTTATGCTACTGAAATAAGATTAGAGAATAAGATCAGTCTTTTGTTCAGAGTGCTTAATCCCAATCATAAAGAAAAAAATAGTATGCATCTGCACCACAATGGCAAAGGAAGATGAATCCAGAGGATTCACTAGGGTGCCTCTAATTATTCTCATGTCCAGTAATAATCATCAATGGAAAACTGCATCAATGCAATAAAGACAGATCCACTGAAGATATGGATCCTAAAGAAATTCATATCCGGATTACTCTACTAGGAAGAGATGCTATCAGAGGGTAAGGTGTGCTGCTTTTTACAGATGAGATGCGGTCAGAGGTTAAGGAGAATATGGAATGGTTGTTGTAAGAATAATGATATAATTATTTGTTTAGGCCTAGTGACCAGGCACACAGTTGAACAATTTAGCAACTATGACTTAAGCTAATCATTCTCTTTTCCTTTAATTCTCTGTTACATTATCTGAGAAACAGAGATAATTGTTTGTGTTACACTTTTGGTTCCACGGGGAAGTATAGATAAACTGAGATTATCCCTCAATGACAGTATGTCTTCCCTGGGCTGATGGTAGCATTTTTTTTTCCTCTGAGAAAGATTGGGAACAGATGAAGACTGGAAAAAAAGAGTGGAATGTGGTTGGTAGTCTCTATTTGTTCTTCTCCATCTTTAGGCTGTTTTCTGCACTTTGCTACTTGCTGTATTTCTTTAGAGGCTTGCCCTTACAGTTCAACCTCGACTCCATAAACTCTAGCTTTTAGTGGAGTATGGCCAATGTCGACAGTAACAGGTGAGATGGGAGGTTTGATGGTAAAAACAATTGGGTTGAAATCTTTGTAGTTGCTGCTTCTCTCTACAAATGGGGTTCCTGTTGTGTGGGTCTAAATCAGACTGGGCTTTAATGTTTTACTCCTTGCTTTTTCATGGATGGTAAAAAATTACAAAGATCCGAGTAGCTGGGTACCTCAATATTACCTTCTCCTTAATACCTGGCACACTCTTTAGAAGTTTATTCATTACATTGACTTCAAAATCCCACAAGTATGCCTCCTGTTTTCAATAGACTGTGACTAATAACTCTAGTTTTATCAGAGAAGGAAGAATAAGAGACTGCTTTTGCTTCCAAAGGAGCTGCAGAGAAATTTAGGGGTAAAAGGTTCTCAGGCTCACTTGAGTACACAGATATACCAACCCCATGCCTTGCAGTTCTGATTTTTCCCCATTAATACCCTCATTTTACATAATATACTTGGTGCAATTTCATTTCCATCTTGACTGGTGATTCTGCCACCTGTGCAATTAGATTTTAGGACTAACAACCATGATTTCCCTGCAGCTTCAATAAGTAAAATATTATTTTAAATTATTATTGTCTTGTTGCTTGCTCTCTGTGCCTTGAATGTGGAGTTCAATGATCTGAACTTCCTTTTCTGTAATTTCTCCAGTGTCAGCAGAAGTGGTCATTCCACCTTGCAGTTTAAGTAAGCATCATGATTGTCATGATGAGTGATCAAGTGAATCTATTCCTCGATTTTCTGAAGTCTTCGTTTTGATTGGCACTTTATTCCAAGCAACCATAAGTGATAATTCATATAATCATAACACCCCTGCAAATCATTGATTAACAATATCCCACTCATACAGGCAAGCAATTCATCTCAGAAATCCAACTTGAGGATTTTTATCTTGGGACTACTGCTGGTTTCAAGAATGTAATTAGTTAATTCAGACCAGGAAAGCAAATGCTACTCTGAATATTTAAAAGACATAATTTAATTCAGGGAATCATTTACATTGTTAATGGAATAGCCAAGAAACAAACAGGGAAATATGAAAGAGAGTCCAAGGTGAGCAATAGCAGGAATTTTTTGCCATTGCTAAGCTAGAGGAACAAAGAAAAAAAGTGTTGCTTTCAAAGCTCAGGAACCTGGATTATTCACTGGAACCAATACTCACAGGAGACCAGTCTTGGGGAAGCAGTTGCCAGGGATGGCACCTGATGCTGCTTAAATTCCTCGTGGCCAAATTCAACCAGAAGCCACTTGACTCAGACGTCTAGAAAATGCAGCCTTGAGTAGGTCAGTATTTGTTTGATACTAATCTGTGCAGGAGAAAAGAGAGGAATCCACTTGAGGTCAAACAAGCCAAGGGATGGCAGAATGTTAATGGGCTTTGTAAAATTCCAACTCACTTAGAAGATAATTGAGATCTTATTTCCTAACACTTGTCAGAATAGATCTCAACCCAAGTCTTGACTTACTTCTTCCTTCCCTATGTAATTTCACTTTTATCCAGTGTGGATTTGTAGAAAGTAAAGGTAACAATCCCAAACAACTCATGTAAATATAAAACTTGTTACTTTTAAGCAGGTAGAAAAATTGTTAAAACTTCTATGTTATTCAACCAAAAAAATTGCTACCAGTTTCTAAATATACACAAATGTTTTCTACAAGTACTTCCCCGTCTATAGTTTTGCAAGTTCTTACAAGAACTTGCATCCTACTACTTTCAATCATAAGAGAGGTTTCAGAATCCATTCTCTGATGGTTAGATGATATATGAATCTACAAGTAAATGATTCTGTGGGTCATTTCTTAGGCATCTATAAAACTGGAACCTGACACTTAAAGTGGCCATAATTCAGTCCAATATGTGATGTCCTTTCAATCAATAACTAACAAAGAATAGATTACATAAGTAACCCTTAGCTGAAAGTCTCAGATAGATGTTGTCATTGTGGCCTTTGAATAGAATTAATACCATCAGAAACAGAACGGGTTTATATCTATCATCAGAACAACATATGTGTCTTCCATTTGTTGTTAAGACAATTTCCTATTATCTCTTTTGACTAATAATCAGGACTTTTCCCCTGCTTAACAAGATGATCTTATGCCGGAAACCTGAAGGTACCATTGTTATCTTGTGCATAACAATGTCACAGTCAGATTTGGTGTATGTTTTTCTTTAAGTTTATGGACTGCTACATGTGGCCATTCATAGCAGTAAAATTTGAATGTTAGTGCTCAGCCTTGGAAGCATTCTGCCAGTGGTTAATTTAGCTTATTTTATGTGAATACATATGACATTTTCCTTCTCTTTCCAAGAAACAATCTCTAGTTTTTACCGGCAAATACTCAAAAATAGTGATTCCATAACCTTCCTGCAGTTTATCCCAGTACCGTGAGAGAATTCTTTCTAATCCGGTGCCTTAGGCTAGATTTCTCTTGCACTATTTTCAGTAAAAAGAAAATTACAATTCATTGTTTTCTTATAAGCCAGAGTCAGTTATTGTTCCTTATCTCTTTTTCCTTTATTTTTGTAGTGTCAATTCTACTTTCAATCAAATGTGTCTTCTACTATTGCTTTTATGTTAAGAGATGTAACATTCTTACATAGACTCTGTGTGTTTCATAAGTTTTGTGTTTTACACGTGTATTTACATTCTTCAAATTTTCTTCAAAATCTAAAATGTTACTTCTTTTTATTTCTCTTTTTCCTACAGAACTTTGCTCATACCTTTATTATAAATAAACTTAGGTTCTGTTTATATATCTACTTCCTCACCCCTCTCAAAGAGGAAGGATGAGAATTTCTTATCAGTGCCTTGGTTCAAAGTGCTTCTTAGAGCTTGGCACAGAGAAGAACTCAACAACTATTTGATTCACTAGATGAATGACTATAAGCATAAATGTAGTGCTTACAGGTAGGCAGTATGAAATTGCTAGACAGAACCTGCCAGCTTCTATATCTGACCCGAATGTAGCTCTATACCAAATAATTAGTCTACAGGTAGACTCAGACCAGTGAGTTGATGTTTTCTACATATGGAAACTCTTTGTATATATACATGTTTTTTCAACTAAAAGTGAGGTGGTGATTTTCTTACTATAATAGAAACTCCCTCCTATGTTTACCTAAATCCTCCCATAAAATACTATGAGATGCAAGTAAACAGTGAAAAATCTTATTTTGCCACTATTATTTTGTTAGTGACTAACAGTGCTTAAAACATTGTAATGTTCAGTATTTGTTGCATTGCTTAATATATGAATTCTTATTTTTATGGATTATAGCCTATGTCCTTTTTGTAACACATAAAATAACAGAGTGAATAGAACAATATCTTATAGTAGCCAAAATGTAACTAAAAATATATTTAGTAAACTTATATTCAGCTTCTGTTCTTAGTAATAAAGAAGATAATAGCTAATTATTTTTGATCATTTATAATAGGACCAGAAACAGTAATAAGAACTTTATATAGATTGTGTTTTTAATCTCTAAACAAGTCTTAAGGTAGAGAGTCTCCTATTTTATAGATAAGAAATCTGAAACACATAGAGACTGAGAAGATTACCCTAAATTATATATCTCATAACTGACCTTGTCAGGATTTGAACAATGTTTGACTCAATGTCCATGATCTTTACTATGCTATGTGAACTCTCAAAGCATAAAGGGAACTTAATATTTTCAGTGAATGTTAATGTGCTGCAGGCAAAAATACAAGCTCAACTATTTGCATTAGCAAGGTGAGTCAAGTTGAAGATGTTCTTTCATTTTATTTTATACATAAATATGTTTATTATGCTTTGAAATAAATTGTATTCTTCCTACTATGCAAGGATGCCTTCTCAACCAAAGCAATATGTGCACTTTCAACAAGCCTGCAATAGGATGGTATTGAACATCTATAACACACTCAGCCAAAACTAGGGCGCAAAAGGAATCCTACCCTCAGAAATTACCCATTGTTTTAAAAGATGTGTTTGTGTATTTTCTTTCTTGAGGAAAAGCCTTACTAGGTTGTTTTGCAACTTTAATTTTCCACAAAGAATCAATCAGAATTTCATTTCAGTTCACAGCTATGTTATATAACTTTAAATTATTAAAAATCATTAACACATACAATGGGTACATATTTTAAGAAAATTTGACTTATAATAGGCCATTAACTCAACATGTGACATTTACTATTTCCTCCCCAAACACTATTATTGTAGAAGTTAGATTATTTGTGAAATAATATGCAGTTATATTGATAGCATAAATCTGTAATAGACTAAAGAACATAGTTCGACTTTGCTTCAATGAGAACAATAAATTTGTCAATTGTCTTGTTTTATTTAATGCTTACTTATTCTTTCATTTCTTGATGTTAAGTTATATACTTGGTTGTCTCCTCTGTCTCTCCCTCTGTGTCTCTCTCATTTACTCATTGTCTTTTTAAAATAAGACTAAAGGTATGATTTTCTTTAATGCAAAATCTGCAGATTTTACCTTGAACCTGTTTATATCCTTAGAAAATACATGCCTTTCTTTAGATTCGAGGATAAAATGTTTCTTTATGGACTAAGAAAAGTATTACAGAACCAAATGTTTTAGGGAAGGGATATAATTTAGAAAGGTTTCTTAAAATGCACTGAAATCACAGCAGAGGAAAGTAGTCTCCACTTTCTCAGCAGGTTGCTTGTAAATCCAAATGACATGCACAATGTATTGAAATATTCTGTGACGGACTCGCCACATTTACTGCAGCATTAATATAAGAAGCTCCTCCAATGGTTCACCTTCTTGCTTACTGATGAGTGGAATTGTTTGTGTCTCCACTGGGACTATAATTGGCACTCACCCTTCCCTCAGCCTTTCAGAATATTGGCATTTCTTTTGAGGAAATTCTAAAGCAAAGGAGGAACTAACTGAGGGCAGGAGGATCTTTTAAATAGATGAGATCATCCATCAAGTACCAAGTCTTCCACATTCTCAAGATTTATTTGGGTAGCAACTATTATCTCTTGCACAATGGATGTGAAAGAAGTTATAACAATATTTTTGCATATTGCTTCCTATATTACCAATATAAATTAGAGTCAATTTACAGCTTTTTTCTAAAGCAATGCTTTCTGCCTCTAAATTCATCATCTGCTGTGAAAAATGAATCATCTTTTTTGACCCATACACAAACTGCATTTATAGATCATTTTAATGATATAATAAGCTTTAATTTAACAAATTCTTTCTTGAATAGTCAAGTTTTCTTATACATAATAATTTTCTACTTAAAACAAACTCTAACAATATATAATAATACCAAAATTGTTTATTGAACATTCAGGCACCAGTCACTATGTTCAGCATTTTATACATATTACCTCTTAATCCTAATATTCATTTATTTCAATATTACTATCCTTATTTTACTAGTAAAGTAATTGAGAATTAGGGAAACCAGGTGATAGTTTCAATAACCCATTTCTTAAAAAAAGTAATTGGGCAAGATTTCAATCTAGGTTACTTTGGCTCAAGTATTTGATCTCCTAGCCTGCATCTTGTTTTCTTAAGGAGAGTATTGTTCACCTACATATTTGCCAGTTGAGAAGAAACATATTTCACAAAGGAATCTTGTTGTTTTAAAAATATATTCTGCAGTGTTGCCTCTTATATGTCAAATATAGTTTCCTGAAAAACATTTTTAGTTTGCTTTGCACTCCACTGCACACTATTAAATACCCATAAAGTTGTTTATATTTCATTTTAACCCTTGCAATTATCGTAAGGTCAGTAATGATGATGCCTCTTTTACTCCTGATTTTATTAAACAATATCTTCTCTCTTATTTTCTTCATCAACCAATTTTGACTATTATGTTGATCTGTTTCAAAGAAAAAAAACAACATTTGGTTCATTGTTTTGTTCATTTTGATTTGTTTTCTATTTTATTGATTTCTACTGCAATATTTATGATTTCCTTCTTTCTTCTTGCTTGGAGTTTAGTTTGTTTATAATTTTGTTCAATAATACTACATATACTTGCTAATTTTTATATCGTTTTACTTATTACTGAAAACTGGTGTACTAAAGCTTTCAAATCTTATTGTTGCATTTTTAAATTCTTCCTTCATTATGTCTGTTATTAATCCATAAATTTGGGGGCTCTGTTGTTCCCTGAATATAGGTCTGAAATCATCAGATCTTCCTGATGAATTGTTTTTATTATTATAACATCCTCGTCTTTGACTCCTGTAACTTTTTTCTTTGTATTAAAGTCAATTTGTTCTATTAGTGCAGCCATTCATGCTATTTTGTCATTCCTACTGGCATTATATATTTCTCTGTACTTTTTCTATTGATCTATTTATTCCTTTGAATCTCAAACTTTCTTATTGCAGTTGATATGACACAGTGTATGACTTTTTTTTTTTTTTTTTTTTTTGAGACGGAATCTCACCCTATCACCCAGGCTGGAGTGCAGTGGCATCATCTCGGCTCACTGCAATCTCCATCTCCTGGGTTCAAGAGATTCTCTTGCCTCAGCCTCCCAAGTAGCTGGAATTACAGTTATGTGCCACCGTGCCAGGCTAATTTTTGTATTTTTAGTAGAGACGGGTTTTGTCATGTTGGTCAGGCTCGTCTCGAACCCCTGACCTCAGGTGATCTGCCCACCTCGGCTTCCCAAAGTGCTAGGATTATAGGTGTGAGCCACCTTCAGTGACATCAATGTTATTTAGGCACTGGCTTCCTAATTTCTATCCTGGGAATATTTCCCAATAATCATGAAAGGCCTTAATTAGACATTAAACCTTTATACTCAGAAAATATTAAGTGCTTCTGTTTTCCTAGCTTAACACTGACTGGTGAAGTTTTTTGTAGAGTAGGCCTAACAGAATCTGAAAAAATGATACTATGGAACTGGCTTTTTAATCTTATTAGATTTGAATTTAGTAATGGTCTCATTATCAGTGAAAAATGGAAAGTACAACACAGATTATCCTTAGCATGTAGTTGTAAAAGAGTTAGCTAAATGATCACATATAGCTAAGTACTTACATAAGGAAAACTATGGGAGAACAGGTAATTGTAGCAATACAAGATAAGGGAGGAAAACAGTACAAGAATTGTGGAATGGGCTGGCATCTTCTAAGTGCAGTGGAAAACCTGAAGAAGGAAAATGACAGACTAACTGCTTTAAATTTCCAGTTTAAGGCCAGGGATCAGAAATAATTCGTTATAGTTTCACAGCTAACATTTGTGAAAACCAAACCCAAAGTCTAACCTTTTTCGTAGCTGTATTATTTAGCAGAGAAATCAATTCACAGTCTCATCAGTTCTTTTTCATTAGGGTATTGGTTTGGAACAAGTAGAACTCTGAGAATAAGAATGGAACATTTGGCAGGTGTCGATAAACCTGAATACCTTGTCTTCTCTTATGGTTTGAATTACATTCCCCACCACATTCATATATTGAAGTCCTAACCCCAGTACCCCAGAATGTGACCTTATTTGGAAATAAGATCCTTGCATATTTAATTCATTAAGATAAGGCCAATAAGGTAGGCCCTAATCTGACTGATATCCGCATGAAAAGAAGAAATGCAGACATGGAGACAGATTACACATATGGAGAATGACATGTGCACCTGAGGTAGAGATCAGAGTGATGCATCTACAAGCCAAGGAGCATGAAGATTGCCAGCAAACCACCACAAGCTAATAGAGAGGCATGGAACAGATTCTCACAGCCTTCAGAAGAAACCAACCCTGTTGATAGCTTGATCTTGGACTTTTAGGTTCCAGAACTGTGAGACAATAAATTTCTGTTGTGCAAACCACCTAGTTTATGGAACTCTTTTAGCCCTAGAAAATGTCATTCTTCAAACAAACCAAGGCCAACCAGGAACTCTGCTAGGAGATGATCAGATCTACAATGTTATTGTTACCGCCCACGCATTCATCATACTCTTCTTTATGGTAATACTAATCATAATTGGGGGTTTCGGCAACTGGCTAGTCCCGCTGATAATTGGTGCACCCGATACGGCATTCCCTCGGATAAATAATATGAGCTTTTAACTTCCCCCTCCGTCTGTTCTACTCCTACTTTCATCCTCAATAGTAGAAGCCGGTGCTGGAACCAGCTGAACAGTTCATCCCTCTTTAGGGGAAACCTAGCACATGCAGGAGCCTCTGTGGATCTGACCATCTTCTCACTCCACTGGGCAGGGGTTTCTTCTATTTTAGGGGCCATTAACTTTATTACCACAGTCATTAACATAAAACCCCCAGCCATATCAAACACCACTTTTCATCTGATCAGTCCTCATTATGGCAGTCCTTCTACTCCTTTCTCTTCCAGTCCTATAGCTGCCGACATTATTGTGCTATTAATTGACTGTGACCTCAACACTACTTTTTTTGACCCTGCTGGAGGGGGTGACCTTATCTTGTATCAACATTTATTCTGATTCTTTGGTAACCCTGAAGTGTATATCCTTCTCCTGTCAGGCTTCGAGATAATCTCCCGTTCGTAACATATTATTCTGGAAAAAGGGAATCATTTGGGTATATGGGCATAGTGTGAGCCATTATATCAATTGGCATCTTAGGACTTATCGTATGGGCTCACCATATATTTACAATAGGAATAGACATAGACACAGAGCATACTTCACGTCCACTACCATAATTATTGCTATCCCTACTGGCGTCAAAATATTTAGCTGATTAGCTACACTGCATGGCAGTAACATCAAATTATCTCCCACAATATTCTGAGCCCTGGGATTCATCTTCCTTTTCACAGCAGGAGGTCTAGCCTGCATTGTACTAGCTAATTCATCACTTGATACTGTCTTACATGATACGTATTATGTTGTAGCCCATTTCCACTATGTCCTATCAATAGGAGAGGTATTCGCCATCAAGGAGGCTTTGTCCACTGATTCCCCCAATTTTCAGGTTATATACTTAATCAGACCTACGCTAAAATCCACTTCACCTTTGTACTTACAGGTGTTAATGTAACCGTTTTCCCATGGCACTTCCTCGGCCTATCGGTATGCCCTGGTATTACTCCGATTATCCTGATGCATCCGCCACATGAAATATTCTCTCATCTGTAGGCTCATTTATCTCACTAACAGCAGTTATACTAATAATCTTTATAAAACAAAAAGTTCTAACAATTGAACATTCATCTACTAATTTAGAGTGGCTTTACGGCCGTCCACCACCTTACCACACATTCGAAGAGCCAACCTACGTGAAAACCTAAACGAGAAAGGAAGGAATTGAATCCCCAGAAACTGGTTTCAAGACAATCCCATAACCTCTATGACTTTCTCGATAAGATACTAGTAAAATCATTACATAACTTTGTAAAAGTTAATTTATAGGTAAATCCTGTAGGTCTTAATGGCTCATCCATTTCAAGTAGGCCTTTGAGACGCTACATCCCCTATTATAGAAGAACTGCTCACTTTCCATGACCACACTCTTATATTTTCTTAATTAGTTCTTAATTAATTAGTTCTTAATTAGTTCCCTGGTCCTCTCTATTTATCTCCCTAATACTCAGAACAAAATTAACTCATACTAGCACCATAGATGCCCGAGAAACCGAGGATGTCTGAACTGTCTTACCTGCCATTATCTTAATTTTAATTGCCCTCCCATCCTTACGTATTCTGTACATAACAGATGAGCTTAACAACCCTTCTCTTACCGTCAAAGCAAATGATATTGAAGCTATGAACATACAGACTGAAGAATTAGGCTTTGATTCTTACATAGTCCCAAGAGCAGACTTAAAGTCAGGAGAATTTCACCTCCTAGAAGTTGATAACCAAACAACTCTCCCAGTAGAGATCCCCATCTGTATATTAATCTCATCTGAAGATGCCCTGCACTCATGAACTATCACCTCACTGGGCCTCAAAACAGATGCAATCCCTGGACGCTTAAATCAAACTACCTTGACTGCTACATGACCAGGCCTTTATTATGGACAGTGCTCAGAAATTTGTAGGTCTAATCACAGTTTTATACCTATTGTCTTTGAATTAATCTCCTTAAAATACTTCGAAACCTGATCCATATCCACACTATAATACAACTGTAAAGCTACCAAGCATTAACCTTTTAAGTTGAAGACTGAGGTGATCTATACCTCTCTGCAGTGAATGCCTCAACTAGATACTTCTACATGATCCATGTTATCCTGTCAACAATGATAACTTTATTCTCCATTTATTCAGTTAAAATGATCAAATTCCAATTATCATATACCCCCTACACCAAAAATAATCAAAATACAAAACACAAAGCCCCCTGATAATTAAAATGAATGAAAATCTATTCACCTCTTTTACTACCCTGACAATTCTAGGTCTACCTGAAGTAGTATTAATCATTTTATTCCCCACCATACTATTTCCAACCTCCATTCATCTAATTAGTAACCGATTGATTTCCATTCAACAAAGATTAGTTCAACTTGTACTAAAACACATAATAATTACCCATAACATTAAAGGACGAACCTGATCCCTTATAGTGATCTCCCTAATACTCTTCATTGCCTTAACCAATCTCCTCAGGCTTCTACCCCATTCATTTACACCAACTATCCAATTATCAAAAAATCTAGGTATAGCAATCCCCTTATGAGCAGGCACAGTAATTACAGGCTTCTGCTTTAAAACAAAAGTCTCCTTAGCTCACTTTTTACCACAAGGCACACCTATGCCACTTATCCCTATACTAGTGATCACTGAAACTATTAGCCTATTCATTCAACCAATGGTGTTAGCTGTGCAATTAACAGCCAAAATTACAGCCGGACACCTACTAATACATTTAATCAGAGGAGCCACACTAGCATTGTCAACTATTAGTCTTCCCACAGCTTCAATCGCTCTCATTATTCTAATCCTACTGACCATTCTCAAATTTGCCATAGCCCTTATTCAGGCTTATGTCTTTACACTGCTAGTAGGCCTTTATCTATATGATAACACATAATGACACACCAAACACATGCCTACTATATAGTCAAACCCAGCCCCTGACCACTAAGAGGAGCTCTCTCAGCTCTCCTAATGACATCTGGCCTGGCCATGTGATTTCACTTTAACTCTATCACTCTTTTAACCTATACATAATATAGGTTATCTTATCTACCAGATTATTGAGGGCCTCCTATGCATCCTGTTGGTGAGTATCCAATTAATTTGTGTCTTTTCCTGTAGAAGAAGCCTTCCTTCTCTGACTGAGGATTTTAAGCTTCTCTTTACAGAGATAAAAAGAGTACCTACGTTATTAAAAACAATTATGTTTAGGCCACAAATTACAGTGTAAGATGCCACCATTGAAAACAGCTTCCTGAATCCAGTGGGGAATAATAGAGTCTTTGAGAAGCAAAGAACAATGACAATACTTCACCTTCAGAAACAAGATAAGCTTTGTTACTATAGCATGATTGGAATAGTAGTGAGAATGATTTTACCCAAAGAAGCATTTGTGGTTACTTATTGATAGTCATCACTGTGACTGATGCGTGTGTATTTACTAAACTGTTGCCTTATTCATTCGGCAGTGGCCCTAGGAGGTAATAGTATAAGTAATCCTCCCAGTCAGCAGAACTTTAAACATTAATTTTGAGTGTTCACTGTCTGAAAGAAATGGCCAGAGACACATATCTACATAATTTCATGGGCAGTGACTAATGATTTGGCTGAATTTTAGAGGAAAAAACAACAACACTAGTGACATGTTCTGGAGTAGAAATATTAGAATGGACCTTTTGTAAAGGCACAAATTAATTGCATACTCACCAACAGGATGCATAGGAGGCTCTCAATAATCAAGTAGATAAGATAATCTATACTACGTATGCCAGCCTGTCCTCTTTACCAGCCACCTCAGACTCTGCTTGACATCAGAATGTTTTCACCAATGGAAACAACAAAGGCTCAATTGAAAAGGAAGCTGAGTTGTTCACCTGTCTTTCAGTCACATTAGTTTTTTATGCTGTTGAATCCAGAGGTAAAGGAAGGGCTTACTGTCTTGGCAAGGATAACTCAAAATAGAGAGCTATAAATACATAATGGGACTAATGTGGTGGTTTTCATGTTGAAAAGTAAAAGCTAATGCAAAGTACAGAAACCCAACCCAGGCAGGACCACTAATAACACGAGTCTTTCATGCATAAAGGCACAGCCACCACGAAAGGTAAAACTCCCTGGCATGCTAAGATGGTGGCTAAAATCAAGATGATCATAAAATGGTTAGTGGAAGAAAGAAGTTGCAAATACCATCCATGGCCATGTATCCAGTTTCATGAATGTGCTGTTATTATAGATTTAATTATTTTTATTTAATATTTATATATTTGCATACATTAATTTTTCCATTTTACCTTTTTCCTTATATTGAATATAAATGCATTAATATTACTTAGTCCAATATTTCAATGTTTCAATTATAAATACATCTATATCCACATATGTATATATGGATACATAGTTTGTAACTGATTAGAAGATAAATGAACTTCACACTGAGATGTGTGAATGGCATATCAGACTTTGTATCTCCTCTTTCAAGGAAAGAATGAAAAGTCTTCAGTTATGTGGGTAGTTATAGCACGTTAACCTAAAGCTTATTCAAAACTGAAAAATGAAAAAGCAATGTACAGCAAAAATAAATTGTCAGGTTATCAGTTTTCAACTTGACATTATCACTATCTTTTTCCCAGTCTGCTCTGCATGTTAGGAACTGTATTAGCTAGAAGTGTCTTTCTTGTTTTATTCAAGGTTAATTTGCTAATGAAGGGGACCCAGTCCAAGATATGAAAGACAGAAAAGAAGGAGAAATCAAATGTAGTCATACGCATGGAGATTTGAGATTCTCAGTGGTTTCCCACTTTTCACTAAGCACTCTTTGTTGCTAATAACTAAGATAAGAGGTGAAAACTTCATAGAAATTCCTGGGAATTACAGGAGCTTTCTAGTAAATCTTTGAGAACAACATATGATCACCTTGATGCTTTAAAGTGAGCTTTCCAGTGTATGCTTATTTAATGTTTGGCGGTAGCTTATCTGATTTTTAATAGACTTCTCGCTAATAGTCCGCCAGTTCTTAAAAACAATCATCTAAATTTATATTAAACCATTTATATTTTGCATACAGTGGCTTCTGTTTTTTAATCAAGTCCTGGATTATAAAGTGAATAAGGTCTGGACCAGGAAAATGGGTGTAAAAAAATACGGATTTCCATTTTACATAAACCATATCGTTTATTTATTGAATGGTTAAGAATATGAGTAGAATATGATGAGTTACAAGTTAATCATACTTTATGATGTTGTTTATTTGAGGAATATATTTATAATGTGTGCATTATCTGTAGATTTTTTTTTATATTATGACTCATGCAACAAAAATCCCTGAAGTTTAGCAATAAGGAAATGCTCTCATCTAAATTAACTATTAATAGGGAAGTTTTCCTGTAGATAAATCTGAAGTCTTACATTCGATGTAATGGATTAGAAATATCAAATTTATATTTTCTTTTTTATTTTAAAACTGGTACCAGATAATCCCAGCACTTTGGAAGGCCAAGGTGGGCATATCACCTGAGGTCAGGAGTTCAAGACCAGCCTGGCTAATATGGTGAAACCCTATTTCTACTAAAAATACAAAAACTTAGCCAGGCGATGTGGTGTGTGCCTGTAATCCCAGCTACTAGGGAGGCTGAGGTGGGAGAATCACTTGAACCTGAGAAGCAGAGGTTGCAGTGAGCCAAGATTGTGCCATTGCACTCCAGCTTGGGCAACAAGAGTGAAACTCCATCTGGAAAAAAAAAAAAATCCTGGTAGCAGAATATCTTTCTGTAACTGTTCATAAAATTTTATTTTATTCTGCAAAACCGTCATCGACAATTGTAGAACTAAAATTAGTAGGAAATTTATGCAGAAAAATTTACTCAATTCTTAGTATACCTTGGGAGTTAGCATGTGAAGTAGCAAAATATCTGCATTATCTTAGTCACTATTGCTGTTGCTTGCTATTATAAACCTGTTTTAGTCAAATGTCTTATCACTATTTTACATATTTATGTACAATGTAAATTAATCATTTTAGCTTTATTCTCTTAGAGTCAATGCCTGTATGAAATCAGATCACAGCTTTAAATGTCATGATGCCCAGGTGCATTGGCCAAGAAATATTCAAAATAAATCTATAAGAAAAGAATAAATACCTCAATATAAAAAAGCATTCTGCAGCAATATACTTTATCTAGATTGCTTGCAGGACTATGTAGGTGAACTCATTTATAATTTTTTTAGAAAACCATTGAATTATGTAATGAAAAGCAACAGAAATCAGAAAACATGGAAACAAGGTAGGCACTAGAAAAAAATGGTTAAGTTTTGTATTATCTTTCAGTATTCATTTCACAAGTCTAAATTATTTTCAAAAATTATTTTATTTTAATATTAATAAATTATTTATTGGCTAGTTTTTATTAGTATGACATAGATTATATATATAATCTTGCACAGAGGATAAGGTTGTTAGTTTAACCAATAACAAAGAAGTACTGTGTACTAAATTTACTTATATAAACAAATAACTAACAATCATTTACAAGAAAATTATGAATTTTAGAAACAGTAATTTTAACAAGTCTATTAGACACCCTCTGAAGAACAAGAACTATCAAGATACATAGTCTTATCAATGACTGTGACACTATAATCTAATTTAAAATAATTGAATTATTAGGGTCAATTTAAGACAATGCAATTTTGGGTGATAAACTATAATCCATTGATTAAAGTCAATTAGTAGCTAAGACAGTAATAACTCCCTTCAAACAAATGGCTACATTGATTCTTATTACAAGAGTTTAACAGAAAATCAAAGATATCAAGTGCAATAGCACTTAGAAATGATTCACAATTTCTAAAGTAGTCAGAAATGAAATCCTCTCATACTTAAATTGTTGCTATTAAATGTAAGGTGCTCAGAGAAGAGCATTGAAAAATAAACAAATAATATATATTGAGAATCTTCTAGGTGGTGATGTGCAACATATTACTATCATGTCTAAAACAATTATCAATGAACTTTGAAAACATTATGCTAAGTGAAATAAGCCAGTCACAAAAGGACAAATAATGTATAATTCCACTTATAAAAGGTACTTAGAGTAGTCAGATTTATTGAAACTGAATGTAGAATGTGTGGTTGACTAAGGGAAGAGGCGAATGCAGAATTACTGCATAATGGTTACAGCTTCAGTTTGGAAAGATGAAAAACATTCTGGAGGTAGATAGTGGTGATAGTTGCACAGCAATGTGAATATACTTAATGTCACTAACTATACCCTTAAAATGGTTAAAATAACAAATTTTATGGTATGTATATTTTACCACAATTTTAAATAAATAAATACAATTATAAGGAATTAATCCTGTTTTCAAACAGTAGGTGATCTGTTCAGGATATAGGACAAGAAAAATCTAATAATGAGGAATGATACAGGTAATGATATAAGACAGCACCTGAAAACCTGTCAAATAATTGATATAGAATTTATTTCTGTTCGACAGGCATACCTGTTTATAGCTGTGCTGAAGTATTCATCACCAATGGGCCTGCTGCATCTGCAGCCTTTGGAGCCTCTATTTAGGTTGTCTCCAATCTTGTAAAAAGACATCCTAGCTTACCTCAGTGTGCTCTACAGTTCTACTGGTTTTCTGCACATGTCATGAAATGAAAAGTTTGGGAAGAATTGTATACTAAGCGTAAGAAGTTTAGAAAAAGAGGGATCCACTATGTTTCGGAGTAGATTTATGAAACTATGTAAACAAGAAGATATTTTAAAGAGATCCTAAAATATGAGTATGGTTTTCATAAGCATTCTGGTTTTACAAATTGCTGGAAATAGGTAAGAGGTAAGAAAGTATAAGGTATGTGCAGGAAATAGTGACAAATAAATGTGATATTAGCAAAAAATGATACTATACCTGAACAGTGGGAGATAAATTTGGAAATCAGGTTAAGGAAAGCTTTGGAAGACCCACAAACGGTGGGTGGGAGTAGGTAAAAGGGAGGCATTGGAGATTTAATCTCTGATTTTTGAGTTCAGTTTTCTCCATGAATTACTAGGTAATGGCCATAAAAATAATATTCATCAATAGACTCTTTCTCTCTTAGTTTTAATTTAGAGTGAATGTTTTGACTTTTTAAAGGAACTGTTTCACTTAAATCTAATAGTTAGAATTTTACCAAGACCTAAGAATATTTTTTGTAATGTATATATGTGTATAGTTGTAACATGTACAAATCTTTGACAATTAAAGAAAATATTTAGTTTATGAGATCTAAACAACTGAAGAAAATGCATGGAAATTTGAGCTATTACTTTTGAAGGTACTACCCAGTCCTCTATAATGTTTTATCTCTATAATAAAGTTGTATATAAGAGATTTTTAAAAACCCTTAAAGCAGAGATCTGATGCCGCAAGTATTTCCCATTTCTGAGTCACTTTATGTGATTCTTCCTATAATTCTGTTACATTTTGCTGAAATCTCAATTTAATGAGTTGTATAGGGATTAAGATGAGATGGTTTCTCTGCTAACTTGACCTAGTGTTTAATCACAATGTTTTAGCCACATATTGCAATTTAAAAAAAAAAACACTACCATTTTCTGAGACCACCTTGATCTGATAATTGGAGGTCCCTGTGCCTTATTATTGTATGTCATTCAAGTGTCATGACTGGAGTAGCCTCTGAGTTATGTGAAAAATGTTACGTCTTGAGACATCATATATGATTTATGATGATTGTTTTTTTCTCAATTTAACTATATTCTCCGGGGAACTGAACATGAATCAGTCCTCAAATCACCAGGGGCTCTGAAACAGAGGCAGGAGAACCTTGAGCTCTTCCCAGCTGGCAAAAGCCACTTCTTCCCAAGTGAAGATACATCACAACTGGTTCCAGCAAAGTACATATTTCTAAATGTCCTTAAATTTTGTCAGGTTACCTACTTCAGTCATGAAACTAAAAAGTAAAATTCATAAACTAGAAGGCTTAGGTACGTGGATTCACAGTAAAATTATCAAGATCTGGAATCATGGTATTGGTAATTTGAATACTTAGTCATGCTTCCTAAGATTACTTTTTCTATGCTTGTGGGCTATCAACAACCTTTCCATTGTCTGAAAAGTATTCTGAGCCCAAATCAAATACAAATAAGGCTGCTGCTAACAAATTTATTTACAATTAATTGAGGACTTATGAGGGTACAATAATACTAAATGTTGCAGCAAGAAATTTTCATGATTTTTGGATAATTGTTTTAATGTGACAGTAACTGACAGCAATGACTACAAGTGTGTAAGTATCCACAAATTATGTTTTGAAACTGATTTGATTTGTTACTCTAATAATGTTTACCTATTAAAAGTGAATTTTTAAAATTGCATTGCCGACTTTCATTTTAGGAAGGGACTTTATTCTACAACATACTGATAGTAATTGGCCACTACACTTTTATAACATGCTTCCAGTGATAGGAAGTAACTAATTGTAAATTAGATATTTCCAAATTTAATAACTCAAATATAGCTTTGTCCTGAGACAACTTTGCTTTCCTATACCTACTAATTATTTGTCCTAGTTCTAGGTCCTTAAGCTATCTAAATCAAATCTAGCCTCTCTCCTGCAGGCATCTGCAAAATGCTTCTCTCTTTTCCTAAGTCTATACTTCTTAGGTATGTATTTGTGGTCCCTTTGGGGAAGAATGGGAGTTCCGAAAAAAAAAAAATGAATGGCTAATGTGTTGGGTAGAAATGTAGAGAGGGTTTGAGGACAGAGGGAAACAATTTGATAAAGATTAGCATGGGAAACTGATAGGTGGAAAAATATATGACTGCTTTCATTTTCAAACTGAATTAATAGGAATATATAGCTGTTTGTCAGGCAATATCAACCATAAGACATAATAGCTAGTGTTCAGCTTTCGTGAGGGATGCCGTGAGTTCCAATACCATCTAAACTTATTCCTGAAATTTTATTCCACTTCCCTTTCTTTAGGATGGTAATTTCTGGATGTTAATTGTAATTCTCACTTTTGTTCACTAGGAAGGGATATTTTTTATGTCTTGTGCTTTCCTTTCCCCAAAGGTTGGGAATAGTGTATTTGCCACTTGCCTCCAAATGTTGCCACTAAGCTCTTCTGACTCTTGAGTTTCAGCTCCTTTGTGCTAAAAGAAAACCTTTGTACCTCCAAGTAATATTTGCCTCCTAACTTACCCATTTTGACCTTCACTATGTAGTGTTTTCCTAGGAAATAATACTTCCCTGTCTAAAAAGTTCAACCAAGTCCCCCAAGGGCAATGCTGGGAGCTACTAGTGTGTGAACATTTGTGTCGCTCTTAGCCTTTCTTACCAAAATGGAGCAAGACATCATCTCTATCCTATCTCAGAGGGAGATTTCTGGCTTATAAAGACTCATTTCCCAGAACCTGGATCAGCCCTCAAATCCAAGTCTGCTTAAAGGATAATAATAATAATGTTATTCAAAGGATTAGTTCCCAAATTCTCTTCCCTACGGTTCTCATAGAACCTAGAGACAATCATATAAATAGAATCAATATATTGATAGTTCCAGATTGCTGACAAGGAAAATAAATTAAGTTTCCATGTGAGTTTGTTGCATTTCATATAGGAGCCAGGATAAAATGAAGTTGTTAATTTTCTTGGCTACTCATTATCAACACTTAATATTAACTTTGAACATAATATGATTTACAAATTACTTTTCACATAATTCTGCTCTGTCAAATAAACATGACCATAATGAATAAAAGCTTGTTATAATATTGTATAGACTATATGGTACCTGTTATTGCCATCTAACAAACATACTTAGTAATAATAGATGAAGCCATAATTTAGATGTTTGACACATTTTCAGTTAGCTTTCTTGATGTATAGCTTTCTGTACAATTAATCATTAATAATAGAAGATTTTCTGCAATTAATCAGTCCTTTTGCTGTTGATTCAGTTTTAACAGCCTTTAAGCCATATAAAATGTTCAAAATAGTTTGATTAAACACTTCAGATCAATTTCAAAATGGTATCTATACATGTTTAATACTGGAGAGTCAAACAATTAATGTGGTGATTCTCATTCCAGTTTTAGCTTTTTGTTGTACCTCTTATCGGACATTAAAAATTGCTGCGGTGCATGCAGCATAAGAAATTTTCAGTTTTCTAAAATTGTCCCCTGTCATTTCTCTAAGGAAATGCTGTCTTGATTTTAGTCACTAAGTCCTTGCTCCGCTGAAACAAAAACAAAACTGCAGAGCTTAGTGCAACATACCTCTCCTGCTGAGACCCCATCGGTCCAGGTGTTAAAATTTGGACACTTTTTTTTCATACCCTTGATATATGAAAACAAAACCAGAAGGAAGCTTGTTGAGGAAACTGTGTTTTAAACAGTAGTAGCTCAATCTGTTGATTTACAGGCTACTGATTTACAAGCTGTGAATGAATTGAAGCCTTCAGCAACAGGAAGCTCTGCCATTGGGAAACCCTATAGCTACAGCTGGAGCCCAGGGACCTGCTTGACTGCTTACAGGAAAACTCACTCCAGGAGCCCCCTGTAATCAGAGTTGTTAAGCAGAAGGAAATGTCTTCAGTGTTCTTACATGGCTCTTAATCAGATACTGACAGAGTGCCTTTGATCAACACATTTGCACCATGAGGTTAACCATAGGGTTCAGTATGTCCACATAGATTTCACAGTCAGCTCCCAATGTACACAACCAACAGAGAAGCTATTCAAACTCGATCCTGTTGCTGGCTCCATTTCTGTCCTCTCAACCTCCGGGGTCTGTTGTGAGGATTAATGAACTACATTTTTCAAGTATCTTGCCATCTCTTAACCAGAACTGAGAGCAAACCATGAGGCATTGTTGTGGAGGCCTGTTTGTTACTTCTTTGATATCTCCACGTCTTAATTGAAACCTTAGACAGTGGCACCAGTCCGCTGCCCTGTGTTAGGCCTTTAAGAACACAGTAGTGGAGAGAAAGAAACCTCAGGGAGGAATTATCTCACAGACAGAGATCACTGGTGGGTGAAATGGCCCTGGCTGTGTTATTTTTCATTTGCCAGCTTGGTTGGTATCCAGAATCCGTGACTTGAAATGAAACTACTGTACAGTGGCAGAGCAGAGAAACAAAGTTGGTGCAGAGGTGCCCGAGAAAGCAGCTCACAAGGTGCATCCCAAATTGGTTCCGGCGAGAGTTATATATTTTTCTGTCACTTTAATTGCCTGTGAAATATTTCATGTACTTTGTGTTAGTGGACAAGATGGATTAACTCCATTTTGTTGTAGGGAGAAAGAAATTACTGGGTCTGCACTGAACTTGATGTGGGGAGATATGGGTAACGTGATACTGCTACGTTTTTGAGTAGGTATTACTCATGACAGGATGAAAGTTTATCTCTTCAAACTGATGTATTCACCGGATAATACAGAAAAATATAAACAAAAATAGGTCATGAAATTGTGCAAAACTACAGATTACAGTCATGTCTAAAATAGGAATAAAATAATTGTAACAGAAAACTAAAATCTAAGAAGAGCTTTTTTTAAACTTAAATGTTGACATAGGATTGACAATATTCAAGAGTTACCAAGAAAAACAAAAGCAACTGTTAGAAAGAAATCTGCTTTTAAAAAGTATTTACATCTACTCTTTTAAGCAGTAAATATAAAATTCAAAATATAGCTACTTTCATAGTACTTAAACTACTTGGTTTCACGAGAAAAGCACACACAGGAAATTGAAGAATTATTTTGCATGCTCTAGTTATTGACCTGTAAAAATAAATAGGGAAAAATCAGTGAGGCAAAATAAGAGATAAGTGGTTATGATTACTTTTTGATATAATACCCTGAACTTTAGAGTGATTAAAATTTAGTAAGGAAATTTTTTCGTTGTATTTTTTCAAATTGGCTAAAGTTATGATAATTTAGGGGAGTAGTTAACAACTTTACCTCCCAGGCATCAACATTTACTTCAGATGGAGTCTCACTCCACTAATTGGTTGAGAATCTGGATGCTATAATTTAAACAAATGAATTGCAGTCTAAAGTAAGTAATTCTCAAAGCCTTTGTCTCTAGAATTCACTTATTTTGTCTTTCAGTTAAATTCAATTTCAGATGAACCAATTTTTAAAAGTCATAATAAAATTTTTTTTCTAATTATCAAGTGTGATACTTTAATGAGGCTTAGCAAAATTGTAATAGCACCAGTATAATGGCAAATATGCTAAGTCAGGAAAATTTGTGCAAGAGTTTGAAATGAGAGAAAGAGATCACTGAGTGTCCTTTGAATGGAATGCTGAGCATTGTATAACTGCTCCTCTGGGATTATCTAATTCTACAGAGGTATCCATCTGTGATAGACAGAAGTTAACCTGGAGAACCCGAAATAATGCAAATATTTCCTGGAAATGATTCCTGCTCATGGCAATGCAAATGAATCTTGTACAGAAGATCAATCTTGATAATTCACATTTGAATTAGTCCTAACATCTTACTCTATTCCTCATTAATTAGTGGGTTAAATAAAATCTTTGACAACTGTTCATTTCATGTTACTATGAGAGTCACAATTTTACCTGCCTGAAAATTATATTTTAACAGACATGAGGCAGATAAAAAGAGCCCTTTCAATTAAAATAAAATCTAATTTATTTCAGTGTTCTCTGAAAATAGCATTCCTAAAATAATAAATGTTAGCTCTGCTTGCTAAGAATACTCAAGAAAAAACTCTAGAATGTACATTGCAGAGGAATATTTTTGTTTCATTTATTAATGTTTCTCAAGAACCTAGAGCAGTGTTCTTTTGTGCACATTCAGTGTTTGTTCTTCCATATAGAGACAGAAAATCAATATTCAAGAAACAGGAAGGAAAAACATAATCAAATCTAACAGGAAATAAAATATGCAAATATCAAAGGAAATGTGGAAATCTTATTTCTCCCTCCCATAAAAAATTCAATTTTAAGTGGTATCAAATTCCATATTAGAATGTACTCCAGAAAGAGTGAGAATAAAACTTTTTAAATTATTACCTGATATCACAAGGGAGTTTTAAAAAACTTTGTTTTCATTTTCTTCCTTCTATTTTTAGATAACCATCATAGAAAGCTGGCTAATTTGAAAATACAAATGTAATCTAGAGGTCTGTCAGTTGAACTCAGAGCAGTGATTCTGAAGGCCTCAGAAGTCACCTGGGTTTTTTTTTTTTCCTAGTAAACATAAATAAATAAAAGGTACTACAAAATTGATATAGTGCAATAGAATCATATCATCTTTTCCCTTCACAAAACCTGTAGAAAATAAATGTGAATTAGGAGGGCAGCTTAAACTCTTTCATTTTACAAACAATTACACTTTAGGTCAACTTCTGGATCAGAAGATACCTAATTTTCAGGTCTCAGGAACGAACATCTTTATATTTCTTATCCATCCACACAGGCAGAGTGCAGGACCAACTATATTGTGTGACTTCATTTATAGTAGCAAAGTCCACCTGCCTATTTGATACATCCAAACTTCTCTCACCCCACATCATGATACTCTAGCCACATAATAAATTAATAGTAAATAAAAGACTCCCCTCATCTTTCACTAAAGCTAAAATATCTATATAACTCACTTTTTGATATAAATATTTCCTATCAAAATAATAAATACAAATTCAGACTTTTGACATAAATATTGCCCTCTCTTGAAGAAGTAATTTGTGAAGATTTTATAACATGATCAAGTTTTGAGAAAAGGTTTGGATCAAAAAAAGAAAGAAAAAAACATGGAAACTCCAGAACATTGAGGATAAAATGTCTCCATGAGAAGGGAGAAGTGATGTGGAATAGAAATGGGATATGGAGGAGGGAGTAAAACAAATGCAAAGCACCTGTGGCTCTTTTACAACTGAGAGTTTATTTCTGTTATATTCACTGAAGAGTTTCAAAGCCTTTACTTCATCAACTGTACCTAACCTTGTGTTTTATCTATATACTATATACATTTGAGAAAATGATAGTTTAATTTTATTTTTATAATTTAAGATTAAAGATCATTTATATCATCTGAGCTAAATAGTAGTAAAACCAAAGCTTAGCCAATATACCAAATAAAGGAAACAATTCAATTGTCATTATATCATGTCCACTGTTTTTCAATGAGCTCTCCATTAAGGCCAGCAATAGCTTCTTGGGATGATTTATTAAAAGCAATTGCTATTTTATATTAGCTGCTAGTAGAGAGTTCAGTGTTACTTACTTTTTGTTAGTTTAGGAAGTACAGATAATTTTCCCTATAAAAGATTTCCTGATGATAATTTGCAGAAAAAAAATATTATTTGAAGTTACAGAAGAAATTACATTATGACATGAATTTCCAGTGGTGTATAAAATGTATAATGTCTTGGTAGGATGTTCTTGATTTTAATCACAAAACACATCACTTTTTCATCCAAAACATTTAAGGGCAAGAAGGAGTCTTCAGAAATTCAGTGGGAGGATGGAAGATACAAGAAATAAATAAAATTAGAAAGCTAAAACATTTAAAAAGTAAATTTAAAAACTTTATCCCCCGTAACGATTAGGACAATTAAAGCATAATAAAGTGACTTTATTACTGACTTAAGGTATAATGGCGCTACTGTCTCAAAGTTGGCTTGGAAACTGCAGAGACATACCTCCTACCAATGGGATATTTTCCTTTTCTTTCTTTCTTTTTTAGAACTCACGTCTGTAATCCCAGCACTTTGGGAGCCTGAGGTGGGTGGATCACAAGGTCAGGAGTTCGAGACCAGCCTGATCAACATGGTGAAACCCTGTCTCTACTAAAAAATACAAAAATTAGCCAGGCCGAGTGTGGTGGTGGGAGCCTGTAATCCCAGCTACTCAGGAGGCTGAGGCAGGAGAATTGCTTGAACCCGGGTGGCAGAGGTTGTGGTGAGCCAAGATCATGCCACTGCACTCCAGCCTGGGCAACAAAATGAGACTCCACCTCGTGGGGGATAAAAAAGGACTTTATTTAAGAATAATTGGCATAATAAATGGCAAGTATTTACAGAATTTAACTTGATGACTTTTGACATGTGAATATACCTAGAGAAGTATCATTGTAATCAAGTTAATGAAAATATCAACCACCCCAAAAGGTTTCTCATGCTCTTTTATAACCCTTCCTTCCTGATCTCCCTGCCCTATCCTCTACCCTTCAGCCAATCCCAGACAATTTCTGGTCTGTTACCTATAACTATAGATTAGTTTGCTTTTCAAGTATTTCATATCAATAGGTTCAATTATTCCACATCTTTACCAATACTTGATTTGGTCAGGATTTTTAATTTTCAACTTTTTAAAAGCCATGTACTGGTATCTCATTCCGGTTTTAATTTGTATTTATCTAATAACAATTCATAAACAGAATTGTGTACATGTGCTAGTGGGACATTTTTATATATTTTTTAGTAAAGTGTCCATTCAAAACTTTTGACCATGATTTTTGAAAGGTCGTTTGTGTTGCGATTGAGTTGCAAAAGTTATTTATATATTCTAGATACAAGTCTTGAAAATATTTTGTCCCAGGCTGGGACTTTTCTTACATTTTCTCAAGTGTCTTTTAAACAGCAAAAGCGTTACATTTTTATTAGGTCCAGTTTATCAATAATTTATTTATTGTTTTTGGTATTTGTTCCCTATTTATAAAATATTTGCCCAAACCAAGGTCACTAGGATTTTCATTTTAGTTTCCTTTTCTAGAAAGTGTATTATTTTAGCTTTCACATTTAGGGCAATGATCTATTTTGAGTAAATGTTTTAACATAGTGTGAGTTAAGGACTAAGCGTAATTTTATTGTCTATAAATATCCTATTGTTATAGCACCATTTGTGGAAAACATTAAACTTTCTCCATTGGAGTTTCTTGGCAATTATTCTAAAAATCAATTGAACAGATATGTGTGGGACTGTTTTCAGATTTCCTCTTCTATTTCACCAATTTATATGTTTGTCTTCACATCAGAGTCATGTTGTCTTGACTACTGTAGTTTTACAATGAGCTAAAATAAGTTTATTTGATAATAACTCTAGTTTTAGAATTGTTATATTTATTTTCATTTTAAAATAAGTATAGTTTATAATTAATGCATTCTCCAACTTTATTCTCCTTTTGCAAAGTTTGGGCTATTCTAGTTGGTTTGCCTTTTCAAATGAATGTTAAAATCAGCATGTCAGTTTCTGAAAGAAAAGATAAATGACTAGTTTTGAATGTGATTGAATTGAATTAACATATCAATTTCGGAAAAGCAGAAATCTCAAAAATATGGAATTTTCCAAACCATGAATGTGGTATTACTCACCATTCACTTAGGTTTCTTAATTTATCTTGGCAACATTGTGCAATTTGCAGTGTACAGGTCTTGCACATCTTTTGCCAGATTGATTACTAAGTATTTCATATCCTTGTTCTATTGCAAATGGTATTTTTATTTGAATTCAGAGTTATTTTTTGATAGCATATAGAAGTAAAATCAATGTATGTGTACTGACTTTTATTCTGCAACCTTGCTAAACTCACCTATTTTTTCCTCTACCTTTTTTGGTAGATCTGTGGGAAAATCCTTAGGAATTTCTACATAAACTATTGATGGCAGTGGTGGCCCATCTGGAGTGGCCACTGTGAAGATGCCAGCTGCAATAGGGAGGGCATGACTGGGGCTGCACATTCCATGGAGCCAGCGGGAGCCAGGAACAGGTGGGAACCCTCTTCCAAGTTGGTGGGGTAGGAGCCCCATGTTCCTGAGCACAGCTGCAGCCTCCCAGCCATAGCTGTGTACCCGGGCATCCCTATGCTCTCAGGAGCCTGGGAAGACCCGCTGACAGGCTCAGAATTGCCTGCTCCTGCTGCCTGCCCTCCCCCCACTGCCAGCGCCCACTCCAATTTTAGAGCAAAGTTGAAGCCAAGCCCAGACATTTGTTGCAACCCAGCTGGTGTCTGTATGCTCAGGGCGGTGCTGACACGACAGAACCCTGCTGCCACGGCCCCTTCTGGGTTTCAGGCACTAACAAGCATGGAAGGAAGGCCAATGAGGTGCTGAGGGCAGCTCAGAGTGGGCCTGCAAGGCACCCCTCAGCACAAACACTCTGCGTGCCTTGGACAACCTGATTGATGGCAGCAGGAGACAGATAGGCTCCTGAGCATAAAGGAGTGGGTCCCCAGCGAAGCCCCCTCCCCCCACCTCAAGCCCTGAAGCGTGGGGGCTGGCTGTCATCCCTGAAGCCTGAGGGCCAGGCTGTCAAATCCAGTTGGAGTCCACGGCCCTCAATGAGAACTTACACGATGCTTTTTTCCAGTCCTGCCCACGGCTGCCCACGGACCAATCAGCACGCAGTTCCTCCCTTCTGAGACCATAAAAATCCCAGACACAGTCAGACTCACAGAGATAACTGACTACCAGCTGTGAGAGGGAGCTACCCAATTTGAGTCTCCTTAACCCATCCGACCACGTGTTTGCAGAAAAAAGAGCTCTACCCACTCCGAGTCTCCTGTTTGCTGAGGGCTGCACTCCTCACGACAACCTGCCTGCAGAAAGGAGCTCTACCCACTCCGGGTCTCCTCTCTGCTGAGAGCTGGACACTCATTGGGACGACCTGCCTACAGATAGGTCAGGATGACCTGCCTGCAGATACCCACCCTGGGTCTCTTCTCCACCAAGGGCTGCGCTCATCAGAAGGACCTGCCTGTGGAAAGAAACTACCCACTTCGGGTCTCTGAAGGGCTATTCTATCACTCACTGTCTCCCTTGCTTACTCTCCAGTTGTCTGCATATGTCATTCTTTCTGGACATGGGACAAAAACTTGGGACTCACTGAATAGTGGGACTGAAAGAGCTGTAACACAAAGCAGGGCTGAAACCGCCACCCCGCCCCCCCCCCCCCACCTCCCCGTGACTGGTTACCACATTGCAGGCAATGAGAAAAAAAGGGCTGCTGCCCTTTAGGGGTCCCAGACCTAGGGGGTCCCCAAGCCAGGACTCTGACACCCTCTTTGGGGCTCTGCAGTTTCTGGCATCTCCAAGCTTCTGGATGTCACTGCATTCCCCTTGTCCAGACATGAGTGCCCACAGCAGAAGCTGCTTGCAGTGCATCAGATCCAGCCACATGCATGCATGGAGCCGGCACCTTTGCCGGTGCCTGGAGCTACCTGCCCCGCCATAGCAGCCTTCATGCCTGGCTGTGCACAGTGGCTGGACCCTGCGCTCACTTGCACATGCACCCCTCACCATTCCATTCCTGGTTTGCCCTTGGCAGGTGTCGAATTTGGGCCCATAACACAAGCCAAGTGCAGCCTGCCAGGCCAAGTAGATGGAACAAGCCCAGCAGGCCTGAGCAAAACTCGGACAAAGATGCCAACGGCCACAGAGGTTTCTGGCTAGAAAAGCAACACCTTAAGGATCCCAAGACTATCATGTTATCTGCCAATAAAGACAGTTTTCCTTCTTTTCAATCTGAATGTGTTTTATTTCTTTTTCCTGGTTTAGTGCACTGGAGAACACCTGCACATGTTTAACAGAAGTCAGAAATTATATATACTTGCCTTGATCTTTATGTCAAAGAAAAGTATCAGCATCTCCCATTGAGTATAAAGTTAGCTGTAGGCTTGTTCTGGTTGTTTTATAGCAGGTTAAGGAAATTACCTCTCTCCTCTTTGTTTTTTTTTTTTTTGTTTTTTGTTTTTTTTTTTTACTAGTTTCCTGAGAGTTTTTATCAAAAACGAGTTTTCTATTTAATACCCCACAGGTATTGCTCAAGAAATTTTTGCACACACCTATGTCCTGGAGATTTTCCCCAATGTTTTCTTGTAGTAATTTCATAGTTTGAGGCCTTAGATTAAAGTCTCTAATCCATATTGATTTGATTTTGTATATGATGAGAGATAGGGGTCTAGTTTCATTTTTCTGTGTATGGATATCCAGTTTCCCACCACTATTTGTTGCAGAGATGACATTTTCCCCAGTGTATGTCCTTGGCACCTTTGTCAAAAATGAGTTCACTGTACGTGTTTGGATTTGTTTCTGAGTTCCCTATTCTGTTCCATTGGTCTATATATCTTTTTTTTTTTTTTTTTTTAATGCCAGTATCATGCTGCTTTGGTTACTATAGCATTATAGCATAATTTGAAGTCAGGTAATGTGATTCCTCCAGTTTCATTCTTTTTTCTCAAGTTAACTTTGGCTATTCTGTGTGTGTGTTGGGGAGGTGTGGTTCCATATAAATTTTAGAATTGTTTTTTCTATTTTTGCAAGGAATGTCATTGGTATTTTGATAGTGATAGCATTGAATCTGTAGGTTGCTTTGGGTAATATAAACATTTGACAATACTGATTCCCATGAATGTGGAATATTTTTCTTTTTTTTGTGTTCTTCTCAATTTCTTTTATCAGTATTTTATAGTTCTCATTACAGAGATCTTTCACTTCTTCAGCTAACTCCTAGGTATTTAATTTTATGTGTGGATATTGTAAATAGGATTACTTTTTAAATTTCTTTTTCACATTGTTCACTGTTGGCATATAGAAATGCTACTGATTTTTGTATGTTGATTTTGTATCTTGAAATTTTATTTGTTTGTCAATCATAATAGTTCTCTTTTGGAGTCTCCAGGTTTTTCCAGGTGTAAGATCATATCATCTGCAAACAAGGATAATTTGACCTTTTCCTTTCCAATTTGGGTGTCTTTTATATCTTTCTTTTATCTGATTGCTCTAGCTAGGACTTCCAATGCTATGTTGAATAACAGTGGTGACAATGACCATCCTTGCCATGTTCCAGATCTTAGAGGAAAGGCTTTCAGTTTTTCCCTATTCACTGTGATACTAGCTGTGGGTCTGTTGTATATAGTTTTTATTATTTGAAGTATGTTCATTTTCTCCCCAGTTTTTGAGGGTCTTTATCAAGTGGGAATGTTGAATTTTATCAAATGCTTTTTCAGCATCAGTTGAAATGAACATTGAATTTTATCCTTCATTCTGTTGATATGATGTATCACATTTGCCTATGTTGAGCCATCCTTGCATCCCAGGGATAAATCTCACTTGCTCATGATGGATAAAATTTCTAATGTATTGTTGATTTCAGTTTGCTAGTATTTTGTTGAGTATTTTTGCATCAATATTCATCAGAAATACTGTCCTGTAGTTTTCTTTTGTAGATGTGTCTTTGTCTGGTTTTGGTATCAGGTAATACTGGCCTCATAGAATGAGGTGGAAAGTATTCCCTATTCGCTTGTTTTTTAAAATAGTTTGAGTGGGATTGGTATTAGTTCTTTAAATGCTTCGTAGAAGTCAACAGTGAAGCCATTGGGACCTGCATTTTTCTTTACTGGGAGAGTTTTTATTACGTTTTCAATCTTGTTACTTGTTATTGTTCTGCTCAGGTTTTGGATTTCTCCTTGTTTAACATGGCAGGTTGTATGTGTCTAGGAATTTGTCCATTTCTTCTAGATTTTCCAATTTATTGGCATATGGTTGCTTATAGTACCTACTAATAATCCTTTTAATTTCTGCAGTATCAGTTGTAAGTCACCTTTTTTATTTCTGATTTTATTTATTTGTATCTTCTCTTATTTTTCTTAGTCTGGATTAAGATTTGTCAATTTTGTTAAACTTTTCAGAAAACCAAGTTTTTGTTTCATTGATCTTTTGTATTTTTTTCACTGAAATTTATTTCTGCTCTGATCTTTATTATTTCTTTTTTTCTACTAATTTTGGATTTGATTTTCTCTTGCTTTTCTAGTTTCTTAAGATGCAATGTTAGACTGTTTATTTGAAGTTTTTCCTTTTTTTTTTGATGTATGCACTTATCACTATAATCGTCTCTCTTTGTACTTCCTTTACTGTATCCCATAGGTTTTACAGCATGTATCCCATGATCATTGGTTTCCAGAAATTTTTTAATTTCCTTCTTAATTTTCTCATTGACCCACTGGTCATTAGGAGCATATTGTTTAATTTCCATGTATTTGCATATTTGCCAATATTCCTCCTGTTATTAATTTTTAGTTTTATTCCATTGTGGTCAGAGAAGATGCTTGATATTATTTCAATTTTTTTTATTGCTTTAAGATACATTTTGTGACCTAACATATAGCCTATCCTTCAGAATGAACCATGTGCAAAGTAAAAGAATGTGTATTCTGCAGCTCTTGGATGAAATGTCCTGTAAATATCTATTAGATCCATTTGGTCTATAGTGCAGATTAAGTCTAATGTTCGTTTGTTGATTTTCTGTCTGGAATATCTGTACAGTGCTGAAAGTGGAGTGTTGAAGTTTCCAGCTATTGTTGCATTGGGACCTATCTCTCTCTTCAGCTCTAGTAATATTTGCTTTATATATCTGAGTGCTCAGGTTGAGTGCATATATATTTACAATAGCTATATCCTCTTGCTGAACTGACCCATTTATCATTATATAGTGACCGTCTTTGTCTGTTCTTATAATTTCAGTCTTGAAATCTATATTGTCTGATATAAATATAGCTACTCACATTCTTTTTTGTTTCTCATTGACATTGAATATCTTTTTTCAATCTTTTATTCTTGGTCTATGTGTATATTTATAGGTGAAGGGTGTTTCTTTTAGGCAGCAGATAAATAAGTCTTTTTTTTTCATCTATTCAGCCAGTCTATGTATTTTGATTGTTATTTAGTCTATTTACATTCAGTGTAATTATTGATAAGTAAGGACTTACTCTTGTCATTTTGTTAATTTTTTTTCTGGGGCTTTTTTTTTTTTTTGGTCTCCTTTCCTTTCTGTTTTCCTTTGGCAAAGGTGATTTTCTCTGGTGGTATGATTTAGTTTCTTGCTTTTTATTTTTTGTGTCTCCATGGTATGTTTTTTGGCTTGTGGTTGACATGAGTCTTGCAAATACTGTCATATAATCCATTATTTTAACCTGATGACAGCTTAACACTATTTGCATAAACAAACAAGCAAAATGAAAATTAATACAAACTCTTATGCCTTAACTTCATCCCCTTACTTTTTAATGTTTTGTGGTTTCTATGCATATCTTATTGTACTGACTGTGTCTTTAAAAGTTCTTACAGTTATTATTTTTGATGTATTTATTGTTTAGTCTTTCTAATTAAGGTAAGAGTAGTTTACACACCACAGCCACAGTGTTATAATAGTCTGTGTTTCTTTGTGTACTTACTATTACCAGTGAGTTTTATACCTTCAGGTAACTACTTATGGCTCATTAATTTCCTTTTCTTTCTGATTAAAATACTCTCTTTAGTGTTGCTTGTAGAACAGGTCTGGTGTTAATGAAATCCCACAGCTTTTGTTTGTCTGGGAGTCTTTATTTCTCCTTCATGTTTGAAGGATATTGTTGCTGGATATACTATTTTAGGG
This sequence comes from Homo sapiens, assembly GCF_000001405.40. Taxonomy (NCBI): domain Eukaryota; kingdom Metazoa; phylum Chordata; class Mammalia; order Primates; family Hominidae; genus Homo; species Homo sapiens. Next base: position 89,566,453 of record NC_000003.12, on the reverse strand, counting down.
TAAAGTTTATTTATTTTTTTCCCTTCAGCACTTTAAATATGTCATGCCACTCTCTCCTGGGCTGCAAAACTTCCATTGAAAAGTGCTGCCAGATGTATTGAAGCTTCATTATATGTTATTTTTTTCTTTTCTCTTGCTGTTTTTAGGATTCTTTCCCTATCCCTGCTCTTTAGGAGTTTGGTTACTAAATGCCTTGAGGTAATCTTCTTTGGGTTAAATCTGCTTAGTGTTTGATAACCTTCTTATATTTGGATATTGATATCTTTCTATAGGTTTGGAAAGGTCACTGTTATTATCCCTTTGAATAAACTTCCTACCTCTATTTCTTTCTCTACCTCCTCTTTAAGCCAATAACCCTTGGATTTGCCTTTTTAGGGCTATTTTCTAGATGCTGCAGGTGTGCTTCATGATGTTTCACTCCTTTTCTTTGTCTCTTCTGTGTATTTTTAAATAGCCTGTTCTCAAGCTAATTTTTTCTTCTGCTTGATCAATTCTGCTATTAAAGGACTCTGATGTATTCTTCAGTGTGTCAATTACATTTTTCAGCTCCAGAATTTCTGCTTGATTCTTTTTAATTATTTTTATCTCTTTGCTAAATTTATATGATAGAATTCTGAATTCCTTCTCGTGTTATTTTGAATCTCTTGGAGTTTCCTCAGCACAACTATTTTGAATTCTTTGTCGGTAAGGCTATATATCTCTGTTTCTCCAGAATTAGTTCTTGATGCTTTTCATTTAATGAGGTCATGTTGTTGTGGATGATGCTGATACCAGTACATGTTCTTCAGTGTCTGGGCATTGAAAAGATTGTTATTTATTGTAGTCTTCACTCTCTGGGCTTGTTTGTACCCATCCTTCTTAGGAAGGCTTTCCTGATATTTGAAACGACTTTGGTCCTTGTGATCTAAGTTCTGTCTGCTTTCAGTGACCACCCCAAATCCAGTAATGCTATGGTTCTTGCAAACTCATAGAGGTACTGCCTTGATTGTCTTGAATAAAATCCAGAAGAATTATCTGGATTGTCAGATAGAGACTCTTATTCTCTTCCCTTCTCTGTTTGTTTCTTCCAAACATGAGCCACTTAAAGGTGGGTGTGTCCACAAGCACCCCTGTGGCCAAAACCACTATGACTGTTGCATTAGTCAGGGTTCCCTAAAGGGACAGAACTAGTAGGATAGATGTATATATGAAGGGAATTTATTAAGGAGTTTTGACTCACACAATCACTAGGTGAAGGCTATCTGCAAGCTGAGGAGCCAGGAAGCCAGTCTGAGTCCCCAAACCTCAAAAGTAGGGAAGCCAACAGTCTGTGGCCAAAGGCCCAACCCCCTGGCAAATCACTGGTGTAACTCCAAGAGTCCAAAAGCTGAAGAACTTGGAGTTTAATGTTCCAGGGCAGGAAGCATCCAGCACAGAAGAAAGATGAAGGCTAGAAGACTCAACAAGCCAAGTCCTTCCAACTTCTGCCTGCTTTATGCTAGTTGTGCTAGCTGCTGATTAGATGGGCTTCCTCTCCCACTCCACTGCCTTTAATGTTAATCTCCTCTGGCAACATCCTCATAGACCCAACAAGGAACGATACTTTGCATTCTTCAATCCAATCAAGGTGGCACTCAGTATTAACCATTACAACTGTGCTGGGTCAGACCTGAAGCTAGCATAGCACTGGATCCTACCCAAGGCCTGCTTTAACCACTCCCTGGATACTGCCTATGTTCTCTCAAGGCCTTTGGACTCTCTAATCAACAAGTGGCAAAGCCAGCTAAGTCTGCATCCTTCACTTCAAGGTAGCAAGGTCCCCCACATGCCAGATGTGTCCAGAGGTGCTGTCAGGGAGTCAGGGACTAGAGTCAAAAAACTTATAAGCCTGCCTGGTGTTTTATTGTACTGTGGCTGAGCTGGCACTAAAACCACAAGATACAGTCCTTCACACTCTTCCCTCCCTTTTCCAAAGGCAAAAGAGCCTCACCCCATATCTGCCACCACTTCTGGCCACAGGAAATACTGCCAGACTACTGCCAATGTTTCCTTAAGGCCCAGTGGCTCTTAAGACAGCTGTGGTGAATGCTGTCTGATCTGGGATTCACCCTTCAGGGCAGTGGGCTCCCTTCTCACCCAGGCAGGTTCAGAAATGCTGTCTAAGAGTACAGCTCTATAACTGGGGACCCCAACAGCCCATTTGGTGCTCTACTGCCATGTAACCCTGCTGGTATCTTAAGTGCAAGATAAAGTCCCCTTTTACTTTTCCCTCTGTTTTTCTTAAGCAGAAGGAGTTTTGCCCCATATCCACCACAACTGATAATGTGCTGAGTCTCACCTAAAGCCAGCAAGTCTCAGAGGCTCACCCAAGGCCCTCAGTGTACTACCTGGGTATCACTGCTTGTTATTCTGGGTCCAAGGGCCCTTCAGTTAGCAGGTGATGAATGCTGCCAGGACTGGGTCCTTACTTAACTTTTATTTTTGAAAGATAGTTTTTCTGTATGGAAAATTTGAAGTTTTTTCTTATTCCATAAGCTTTGAATTGTTCATCCAGTATTTTTTTTTTATTTTAAAGCTATTTCTCTAATTTTATTTCTGACATTGTTTTCAATAAGAAGTCTGCTAACATAATGATCTATTTTTTTTCTTTTGTATAGAATGTGGCTTTTGTTGTTTTTTTTTTGTTGTTGTTGTTGTTGTTGATTGGTTTGCTCCAGCTGCTTTTCAGATTTTTGTCTTCAACACTGGTTTAAAGGATTTGATTATTAAATGTCTTAGAGTCGTTTTTAATGTTTTTTTTCTGTTTAAGTTTTATAATATTATTGGAAAGGTAAGTTTAACATTTTATAAAATTTGTAAATTTTTAAATCTTTTTTTCAATAATTTCTTTCTCTTCTCCCCTCCTTAGTACTTTAAATCAAACGTATTTCACTGACTGAATTTGTCCCGTAGCTCACTGATATATTTTTCATTATTTTTCAGAATTTTTTTCTCTGTGTTCTATTAAAGAGATTTTATTTCTGTGTCTTAAATGTCACTAACATTTTGTACAATAGTATTTCTTCTGGTCTTGATACCATCCAGTGTATTTGTCATCTAAGACTTTGTATTTGTCATCTGATATTTCGTAATTTCCATCTCTACAAATTTGATTTGCCTATTTTTTCTATCTTCCACATCTCCCATTAATATATTCATGCCTTTCTTTTAACTTTTTGGATACAAGCTGTATGTTTACAGTAGCTGTTTTAGTGTCTTTGTCCAGTAATTTTATCATATACATCATTTCTTAGCACGTTTCTATTGATTGAATTTGTCATATGAGTTAGGCACTTCTGATTCTTTAAATGAATGATAATTATTTGAAAATTATTAATTTTTATGATAGATTTTTCTCTGTAGTCCTTTAAATATTTTTCATCTTTGTTGTAAGAGAGAGTCAAATTACTTGAATATAGTTTGATTCTTCTGAGGTTCATTTAGAAGCTGTTTTAGGCAGGACTAAGGTTACCTTTAGACTAATTTGGTCCAACTTCAGAGGCAGTAACTTCCTGAATACTTCACCTGAGGCTCCTTGCTGTCTTTTGCTCTAGGAAATGTAATCTATTGCCAATACTATACGAGTCTTGATAGTTATTCTGCCTCCTTTTTTTCTCCAGCCTGATATGTTTTCCCTGAAAGAATTTGCTGATCAGTACTCAGCTGGTAATACAAGGAGAATCTGTTCCACATCTCCAGAGTTCTCTCTGTGCAAGGTTCTCTCTGTGCAGCTATCTTCTCTTCTCTTCTTTGCTTTTTAAATGTTTTATGTTTGGCCTCTTCAGATGCTCAACTCTATTGCTACTACTGGGCAATCCCAGGGCTCATGTTGCTTGGTTTTCTTCCTTCCAGGATGACTGACTTGCGCCTCCTATTGTCTACTATATGCAAATCATTTTTACATATATAGTCCATGTTTTTAATTGTGTAATACTAGAGAATACATATGATTCTTCTTACTCCATTATAGCTGAAAGCATCTCTGCTCTATGACTCATGTAAATTAGATTCTCTCTAGCTTTGGAGCTATTTTATGTCTTGCACTTTCCATGACTGTCAGCTGTGGATAATTAAAGCTGAACACTAAAAGCTATGCTTCATGCCAGGCAAGAATGAAGAGCTGTGTAGGTAGCCACCAGAAGACTTGAAGCAAGCCTTAATATTATATGTGTAATGCCATGTCATAAAGTGAATGCTTATAGTCTGAAAGTTTGTATTCCTTCAAAATTCGTATGTTGAAATACTCACCCCCAAGATGATGGTAATAAAAGGTGGGGCCTTTGGGAGGAAATTGGGTTGAGGGTAGAGTAGATCCCTTCATAAATGGGATTTATGAGTGCTCTTATAAATGAGGCCTGAGAGAGACCCCTTACTCTTTCTATTGTGTGACAAGACAGCAGAATGGCGCTGTCTATAAGTCAGAAAGTATTCTTTCACCAGACACAAAGTCTGCCTTGATTTTGGACTGCCCAGCCTTCAGAACTGTGAGAAAAAAATTATTTTGTTTACAAGCTACCCAGTTTATGGTATTTTGTTACAGCAGCACAAAACACACTAAGCAAGACAACAAGTAACTTGGTCTCCTATTGAGAATGTGAGCTATAATCCTCTGGACATGTATACTGATGAGAGGCTTTACTTCATATGAAGCAGTTAGAATTGGACCCTGGAATCTTTTCAGTTCAAGGAAATACGTCTGATTCCTATTGTCCATAGAGAACAGAGTGAAAAACACTGAATAATCTTCAAAATAATAGAATGTTTATTCAGAGCAGAGTTACCTGACCCTATTTCAGTGATGGTGAATAACTAATCCTTTTGATGAACTACATCAATTAAGTAAATGGTAGAACCGAACTCCAGTGCAAAGAGAAAATGGTTTCACTATCACATACAATTAAGGGGAAAAAAAACTCTCTTTATTTCTCCATTGAGTAAAAATAGTAATTTAGGCTAGCAAAGAGCTGTTTTTTGGAAAGGGGTCAGCGGCCAGAAGAATGTATTGTGTGAGTGAGAGAAATTTTGGTTTTGGGGTTTTTGTTTGTTTGTTTCCTTTGATGATTAAAAGAAACTTATGAAAAATATAAGAAGTCACATGGTTTCCAGTTCCTCGAGTACAGATGGCTGGGCCACTGTAAATATTTTTGCAGGTTGTACAGCGCACAAGTCCACAGGGTGCCTTTTCATTATACGCTATTAACTTCTTACTCAAAGTATGGTCCACAAACCAGCAGCAGTGACATCACTTCTGAGAGCTTCTTAGAAATATAAAGTTTCGTCTCCTATCTACTGAATCAGAATCTGCATTGGAATAAGGTCTCAGGTGATTTGTTTATGTATGCTTATTAAATTTGGGAAATGTCTATTGGAATAATGCCCTGGACTTGGAAAGTGCACACCTTTCCTGACAATATGAGTCGTCTTTGAGAATCCAGGTTGTTAAAATGTCTTCTGCAGATGAATACGATGACTTGCAGAACTGCAGGGGGCCTCTGGGTAGCCAACTATATGCTTTTTTTTTATCTAATACACAGGAACCCTGAAGAATGTGCTTATCTCTCCTGTTTCTTTCCCAATACCTTTCTCTGGGTTCCATCTGTCAGCTTCAGCTTAAGAGTGTCATCCACAACACTGAAGGAAAAATTGCTCTAGCTCACTCGTGCCAATTGGAGGACATTCTCTGCATTCTATCCCTTTAGCTGCTCATACCTTGTAAACCACAATATGAAGAATTGGCTGAGTTTCAACAGAGATATTCAATGAGAGTGGCCTGATAATTCTCAAGAAAGACAATATACACCAAAAGAATATGCAGTTTGTATTTGTATAGACACATGCTACTTACATCTTTTATCTTCTAAGTGTAATTCATACATCCTATAATAATTATCTTGTGGGCAGTTGGCCAAACTTGGTATAGATTAAAACTTGATTGGATATGTTAACCACAAGCTGGATAAAGAGAGGGAACATTCCCTTCTCCCACACCCTGCTCCCAATTAATTTTCCCCAGCTACTTTGTTAATCCTCAGCAGTGTCTGGGAAAAAGACCGGTGTACTTCACCATACTGTCCAGCTTCCAGGTGTCTAGGTGGTCAAGTAGGACAAGCCAAACTGAATGTGACAATCAAGTCTCTTTTCAGTTGCTGAGGTAGTGTTAGCAGGCGGCAAAAATAGGCACAAGCTTTTTAATGCTCTATTTTGTTTTTACAGAATGGCACAGGTAAAGGTTGGGTGGATCAGCATAGGTGGGAGACCTTGTCAATGTTGAGGATCTCTGAACAAAAGGCTTTGATTGTTCTATGGACTCAAAGATTAGGAGAAAGAAGAGGGGAGAATGTTAGGAGTGAAGTACTAATTGGAAAAAAAGTCTTAGTTAAGGCCTCCTGTATTAGGGTTCTCTGGATGGACAGAACTAATAGGATAGATGTATATATAAGGGGAGTTTGTTAAGGAGTACTGACTGACACAATCACAAGGTGAAGTCTCACAATGGACCGTCTACAAACTGTGGAGCAAGGAAGCCAGTCTGAGTCCCAAAACCTCAAAAGTAGGGAAGCTGACAGTGCAGCCTTCAGTCCAGGAGTGAAGGTCCAAGAGTCCAAAAGCCGAAGAAGTTGGAGTCCAGTTTTCAAAGGCAGGAAGCATCCAGCATGGGAGAAAGATGTAGGTTGGAAGAGTACACTGGTCTAGTCTTTTCACTTTCTTCTGCCTGCTTTTATTCTGGCCCCATTGACAGCTGATTAGATTGTGCCCACCCAGTTGAGGGTAGGTCTGCCTTTCCCAGTCCACTGACTCATATGTTAATCTCCCTTGGCAACATCTTCACAGACACGCCCAGGAACAATACTTTGCATCCTTCAATCCAATCAAGTTGACACTCAATATAAACCATCACACCTCCTGATAAAAGGCCTCTAAACAGAGTCACCTGAGGAATGCAGGAATGTAGGATATGCATCTGAGCATGGCTGGCTCATGCGGACATGAGTCCTTAATTGCAATTCCCTTCAGAAAATTGCAACGTACTGACCATGTACAAATCTGGTGTAAGGAGGTCAGCTTCGCTGCACCCTGAGGCCTGGCAGGCAAAGTCTTATAATTGCCTAGGGTCAGGCTGGTAAGAACATATGGAATTTTGGCCTGGATCTTCACTCCTCAAATAAGATGCCTGGAAACATATAATGCCAAAATACAAAGTATACTTGAGACAGAGAGTTCTGGTATACCCGTGTAAGTTTGTTTATATGTGCCTCACTGTTGAGGTTCCTAAAAGTCTGAGGGTGATACTGCAGACATTTCCTGGCAGTTCTACAAGATAGGATTCTAATAAACAGGAGTTAGGGGTCTTAGCTAAAGAGTTCATACCAGCCCAATAGGGAATATAAAACTTTTATCTCTCAGTAGTGATTGTGTCCTTGAACAATATCACTTACAATTTTCAAGTATTTTCTTACTTGAGGGTAAATATTTATATTTTTTAAAAACTGTTACTCTTTTAGAGCATCATACATAAAGTGCTGACAACGTGGAAATCAGTTCAACCTGTTGGGTGGTATTGAGATGAGATTTTTCCAGGTTTCTAGCTGGCAGTTTGGGTGAAGAGTGATACCCTTCAAGATAATCTGGTTTTTTTTTATGCTATTGGTTTGAGCAGTTTTAGATTATATTTTGCTGATTCTGTTACAGAAATGGCTATAGCAAAACCCCAGGACTCAATTTCTTCCAGGTATTTTCCACAATTACAGGCATATGAACTCTCTCTATTTTTGCTTCCCTAAGTTACAGTCTCTACTCCCAACACCAAGTAATCTTCCCCTTCACTCTTAACTCTGCCTTGGGCCATAGCCGCCTTTGCCATTAGGCAGGTACCATTTTGAAATCCTAAACTCAGCTTCTCAATAGGTGATCACCTTTTCCTGTAGTCCATGGAAGGGAGAAAGAGCAGTGTGGCCTTTAGGAGAAGGGGCACCTTTAAATCCACACAACTTCTCTTAAACAAAGTAAGGGAAAGGATTCCCCCAAATAACTAGCGTTTTATGTTCTTTTAGTCAAGAAGTGGAAGATTAGAAATATTTCCTTTGATTTCAAAACTGTCCTTATTTTAAGTCATATTTCTTATATCCCAGTGTTGTGGAACAATTTATACTGGTAATTTTTGAAAATTTTCCAAACTGGTGAGAATTCTCATGAAGTTATGATTTAAGGACTCATATACTACATATGAATAGTAAATATATTATAACTTTTGAAGCTGGAATGAAGTGATTTTGAGACAATGGCCGTGACACTCTTAGTAATCTGATGTTTGCAGATGAGCATGGACTTTCCATAGTCAACACTGGTTTGTAAATATCATTATACAGAAATGATATTAAGTTTTTAAGTTTTCAATAGAATGCTACAAAATCCTGAGCATACAGCAGGGTCAGCAGAGAGCTAAATATATTACTTTTTCTGAAGTATCTAAATAAATGATGGCTGAAGGAGGTATAAATTGTTTTTAAGAACTCTATCTCAATCCTCTGTATCTAAAAATACTGAAACTCTTCCTGGAGAAGAAAGAGTTGATAGTTTAGCAATCCAGGTTCCCAGGTAGAATATCCCTTGGGCATGAGGACTTTGAAATGGGCTGCAAGGCTGGGAAAAATAAAGGAAGGCACTCTACCTACCATGAATAAGATAATATTTTAAAAATTAGAGATTTTTTTTTTATGAAAGAGCTGTTTATACTAGGGAAAAACAGTGTGTATATTGGCTAATAAAAATCTCTCAAGTTTTACCATAATGACCGTTGAGGCCAAGATATGCCAAAATCAGACCAAATCCATTAAAGGTCTGATTAAAGGACGAAATCCACGTTCTCAAAATGAAAATCAGCTTGGTGCAGCACCCAAATATGCAAAGACAGCTATTAACTTTTGTCTGCTGTTATGACTGGTCTAGTTCTCAGTTACTATAGCTATGACTAGAAGCAGATGAGAGTTCAGATTCGAGAAATGTGAACCAAATACATTTCTGAGGGGCATAATCTGTTTGCTACTCCTTAGATCAGAATTGATGTAGATAAAAATGAAATTTGAGTATAAAGGAAAATAAAGAAGTTTAAAGGGAAATATTCACATCAGTTACATTGCATTTCTCCTTCTGAGGAGAGGAAAGCATATACAAAATTAAATCTTCCATTAGGGATCTCCTCATGGACACATTTCTAATTTCTAACCTGACCATTTTTTTTTTTTTTTGCTTGCATTTATGTCTTGTGAACATTTCCTCAAAATTAAGTCATTTAGTCTCAAATAACATCCAGAAACAGTTCAGCAGTAAAATTAGTAGTGGTTACTGACATGATTCCTTTAGAACGGTTTAGGGAGAGCAACTTAAGAGGTTCAAGATTAATCATGTGTCTAGTGCTATATACACAGTGGGGTGAGCTTCTTTAAAACAATATTTTAACTTTTATGTTAGGTTCAGAGGTGCATGTGTAGCTTTGCTATATAGGTAAGCTTATGACTCAGTGGTTTGGTATACAAATTATTTTGTCACCCAGGTGCTAGGCTTGGAATCCAACAGTTTTTTTTTTTTTTTAACCTTCAACCTCTTCCTCCCCCGAGCCTTAACCATCAAGTAGGCCCCAGTGTCTGTTTTCCCCTTTTTCTGTCCATGTGTTTTCATTATTTAGCTCCCAAATACAAGTGAGAACGTGAAATATTTGGTTTTTTGTTCCTGTGTTAGTTTCTAAGGATAATGCTCTCCAGTTCCATCCTTGTTCCTACAAATGACATAATCTTGTCCTATTTTACGGCTGTATAGTATTCCATGGTGTATATATCTACCACATTTTATTTAACCAGTCTACTGTTGATGGGCATTTAGATTGATTCTACATCTTTGCTATTGTGAATAGTGCTGCAGTGAACATAAGTGAACAGAAGTCATTATGGCAGAATTATTTATATTCCTTTGGATATATACCCTGCAGTGGGATTGCTGGGTCAAACAGTAGTTCTGTTTTTACTTCTTTGAGGAATTGCCACACTGCATTCCACAATGGCTAAACTACTTTACGCTCCCACTGGCAGTGAGTATATGAGCTCCCTTTTCTGGCTGGGTGCGGTGGCTCACGCCTTTAATCCCAGCACTTTGGGAGGCCAACATGGGCAGATAACTTGAGGTCAGGAGTTCAAGACCAGCCTGGCCAAGATGGTGAAACTCTTGTAAAAAATACAAAAATTAGCCAGGCTTGGTGGTGAGTGCCTGTAATACCAGCACTTCGGGAGGCTGAGGCTAACAGATCATGAGGTCAGGAGATCGAGACCATCCTGGCTAACACGGTGAAACCCCGTCTCTACTAAAAAAAAAAAATACAAAAAATTAGCCAGGGGTGATGGTGGGTGCCTGTAGTCCCAGTGAAGATTGCAGTGAACCAAGATCGCGCCACTGCACTACAACCTGTGTGACAGAGCGAGACTCCGTCTCAACAATAAAAAATAAAAAAGAGTTCCCTTTTCTCTGCAACCTTGCCAGCATCTGTTATTTTTTGAGCTTGCAATAACAGCCATTCTGACTGGTGTGAAGTGGTTTCTCACTGTAGTTTTGATTTGCATTTCTCTAACGATTAGTGATATTGAGTGTTTTTTCATATGCTTGTTGCTGAGCTTTAAAGCATGCCATGCCTATTTACTTTCTTTCCAATGGGTTATAACCATCTAAACCCACAATAAAAATAAAATATTTGTTTCTGTCTATCTGGTGTGCTGTGCTGTGCCTCCACACTTTTTCATGCTGCTCCATTGACTCAGTCGGCCATAGGAAGATAGCTATACATTCCTTCAACGCCAATATTGTGGTTATACAAAGAGGAGTTTTGAGGTGATTGTATTCATGCTAATAAATAATTAGAAACTTTAGTGTTAAGTTTCAGGGAGAAAAAGGAGGTGGTTTATGTTTTAAATACCCTGTATGTTCTATTACATAGATTTTATGTTAAAAGAACCATTTACTTACTACCTAAATATCTAACAGCTTCAGAAAAATACTTAAAATTTAAGCCATAATAGTGGTAAATATTTGTGTGTCAGGAACTGGGCTAGGAGAATTAGAAGAAAGAGAAATTGATTTGTCTTTCATGATTTTTCAATTTCGAAAGGAGAAAAGACATATATGTAAATATAGGGAATATGAAAGCAATAGATGACAGTATCATAAATGTAGCAAAATTTTAAAGTTAAATTTCAGCAGAGGAATCAGTAGAACCCTATGTTGATAAAATGTATTCTGTAGATAGAAAAAGTGGGAATCCAATTTCTTACACATTGTATTTATATACATTGGGAAGCTTTTAAGTTTTTTTTTTAACAGGAATTTTTGAGTTTGTAATATGGTAATGTAGGTGATTATAAGAAGCACGTGGAATTCGAGACCAGCCCGGTCAACATGGTGAAACCCATTCTCTACTAAAAATACAAAAAAGTAGCTGGGCATTGTGGTTGACATCTGTAATCCCACCTACTAGGGAGGCTGAGGCAGGAGAATCACTTGAACCCAGGAGGCTGAGGTTGCAGTGAGCCGAGATCGCGCCATTGCACTCCAGCCTGGGTGACAGAGCAAGACTCTGTCTCAAAAATAAATAAATAAATAAATAAATAAATAAATAAATAAATAAATATAAAAAATAAAAAAACAAGCAGCACGTGTAGAATTTGCTATCCCTACATAGAAGCTGAGGGATGACACCATGCAGATGAAAATATGAGAATACGACTCATTTTGATTGGAACTGCATAGACAGATTTGTGGTTGAACCAAAAATAAGTGTTAGTCGTTGTCATGAATTTGGAAAGCAGATGATATGAGGGCCAGGTAAGATAGAGATAATTTGAAAAATGAAGGAAGGAATTTGTTACATGAGAAGTTGTATAGAGACAGACCTAGCAGAGAACTCTACCCAGTGAAACCCAAGAAAATAAATCTTTTAAAAGGATGGAGTTGCATCAATACTGGGATGACACAAAAATCCAGGTGAATAAGGACTCAAAGACAGTTACTGCATTTGGAAATCGGGTGACATTGACTTTTTAAAAGAAGTGTGTTGAAGACTACACACAGGTGACAAATCAAATAATAAATATTAAAAAATAGAAACTCTAAGTGTAGACTATTCATTCAACAAATTTAACACATAAAAAAGAACTAATTATTTTATGTCACCTTTAAAGTAATAAACAAGCTACATAGAAAATAAGCTGATGTGTGTAAAGGTTAACTTTTGTCCCTGAATAAGAAAGATATATGGCAAATAAAAGTAAAAGCAGCAAGGCAAAAGAATAAATAATTTTGAAAAATACGCATGAAGGAGTGGGTAAGGGTCAAAAGTGGAATCATTTCCTTCACAGAAAATAATGGAGACCTCTTTTTTTGATTTTATTTTTCCACAGGAGGGAAGGAGGCTTGATAGAACATATCTTGCCTGATAGTTTCTCTGTTTTTAAATGGTTTGCACTTATGTCATCAGCAGCATTCAGTTTTAGAGGTTTTGTGAACTTTATGCTTAACTGTAAAGCATGGAGCCTGCTTTTCTCATATCTACAGAAGTAATATTCTTCAGAATACTACAAAATTGTTTTGAACACTTTGATTTGGCTGATTGTGGTATACCTCTCTTTAAGAGGTCATTCCGTGCTGAAATTTAGCCCTTTGGAACAATATTTTCCCTTGTATTTACTTTATGATGAAGATATTAATTTATACAGCATGCCATTTCCCTTGAATAACTAGTAACTCTTGATAAGCGGACTTTTTCCTCAAACTCATGAAAAGTGTGTAATTACCTTGTCTCCATTCTTTTTCAAATGCATATACTAAAAAATAATAATAAAGGAAGAAATGCGTGAACAACAAATGATATAGATTAACATACATTTGGTAAAAAAAAATATATAAATATATATTTTCAATTAACCTTTGCCTTACTTCAAATAAAGACATAATTTCTTAAAATAGGGGCTCTACAGAATGTTATTTTAAATATCATGCAAACTAATGGCTAGCCATTAATAAGTTTTTCATATTGATTATATGCATACAAGCATATAAATACAGAAACATTTTTTATCTTATATCTTCCTGCTTTCGTTGAAGTTGAACCCTATTTTGTAGTCCAGTCCTAGAAACTGTGGCCCAGTAATTGAGTTAAGAAGTTTCAGAGTCTGTCTGCCCTTGTCAATAGAAAAAATTATTGATTTGTTCTCATTCCAGGTTGTTGGTCTAATATTCCCAGTGTGGAATTGGTTCTAGATATGTCATCTCCTGCAAAAATTGGAGCATAGCCCACTCCTGTATCTGACACTTACAGAGAAGACAATGGCAACTTGTTTTACTATTCTTAGCCCACATCAAGAAAGCTCATTACCGTATGTTGTACCATTTTCTTAAAAAGATTCTTAAAGTTAAAAAGTGCCATTTCTTACAACCCTCTGCCATTACCAAGGCTAAAAAAGATACACAACCAGGTAGAACTATCTACTAACATTTATCCAGGTTTAATTGCGTGTTAGAGGCAATCTTCAATATTCCCCAACTGCCAATAATTCTGTAATGCCAACCAATCCCCCAAAAACCTTACTCCTCAAATTTTAATTCTTAAAAGAATCCATGTAATTTTCAAGGAGAGAAAAAATAAAATAGACTACAATTAAGAAAACACTTTAGACTTTTTTTTTACATTAGAAGTTTTGTATTTGATAGACATATATTTATCTGTTCATAAAAGGAACTGTTTTTCAAAAAGCATGATCATTTGAAAGAATCTGTCACAAAAGCCACAGTGAATAACTTGAAATACACTTTGAAGTACAGTACTGCACGCAACTGTTTTATGATTAGGCACATTTGTACAACAGGAGATTGCATTTCTGTAAGACATAAACACCAAGAAATGAAATTAAGGTGAAAACTAGACTTATTTTTATACAAAACTGGGCTGGGTGCCGTGGCTCAAGCCTGTAATCCTAGCATTTTGGGAGGTGGAGGCGGGTGGATCACCTGAGGTCAGGAGTTCAAGATCAGCCTGGCCAACATGGTGAAACTCCGTCTCTACTAAAAATATATAATTTAGCTGGGCATGGTGGTAGGTGCGTATAATCTTAGCTACTAGGGAGGCTGAGGTAGGAGAATCGCTTGAACTCTGGAGGCGGAGGTTGCAGTGAGCTGAGATCACACCACTGCACTCCAGCCTGGGCGACAGAGCAAGACCCTGTCTCAAACAAACAAACAAAAAAACACCCGGCTCAAAATCTATTAGAATCTAACAACATTTAGGCTTTCATAGGTATTAAATTTCAAGGTAGACAAGAACACATACACATGCTATGCAGGAAGAAGTAGAAATACAAGGGAATGAAAAGGAAGATAACAAAACCATAACTGAATGAAAAGCAAGCCAGCATCACTACATTCTGTCATTATCTGAATTTTACCATGTGCTTCTAGGTGGCAAACGTGAAGTGGCCCTGCTGAAAGAACTTTAGCATTGATAGTGCCAGGTATAAATGAAGTAAACTGGGAGTTGGGGAGGAAAGTGAGTGGGGAGGAGACACTTCAGAGCAGCAGCCCAAGAAAAGAAAGTTGCTAATCTAGAAGAGAGGAAAGAAAATACCTCCAAAACCCACTGTAACAGAAACAGTACACATTCACACACATATCACCAAATTATGCTTCACATTAGGAAAATGATATAAACAGAAGCAGGCAAACATACCTAAAACATACCTGCCCCATTATTATAAAGGCATGAACCACAGACCCTGCATAATTTAAAGTACAGATTTGTTAGTCACATTTCCCATGTACTTGATCAGAATCTCTAGAAACAAAGACCTGGGATCTGCATTTTCACAAGTTGCACATGTGATTATTCTGTACCCTAAAGTTAGAGGACCACTGATAGTTCTGAAATATCTTCTCATAATAAACATCAATGCTTTATTTATTAATATAAATGTCAAATGTAAGGGAATGGAAGAGGAATAAAAATAAACACAATAATAAGGATTATAGAATGGGTACTTCCATTTGAATATATTATTAAGAAAAAAGCACTAGTAACCTAAGGATAAGAACAATAGTCTAAGGTCTTCACTCCCTCAAATTACACATGGCCACATTAATAAAATTGGTGAGCCAAGAAGTAGAAAGTTTAAATTCTTCTATTATCAAATCAAGGAATTATTAATGTCCTGTAAAACTTGAGTAGAAAACAACAGGTGCTGGAGAGGATGTGGAGAAATGGGAAAGCTTTTACACTGTTGGTGGGACTGTGAACTAGTTCAACCATTGTGGAAGACAATGCGGCAATTCCTCAAGGATCTAGAACTAGAAATACCATTTGACCCAACCATCCCATTACTGGGCATATACCCAAAGGATTATAAATCACGCTGCTATAAAGACACATGCACACGTATGTTTATTGTGGCACTATTCACAATAGCAAAGACTTGGAGCCAACCCAAAAGTCCAACAATGATAGACTGGATTAAGAAAATGTGGCACATATACACCATGGAATACTATGCAGCCATAAAAAGGATGAGTTCATGTCCTTTGTAGGGGCATGGATGAAGCTGGAAACCAACATTCTGAGCAAACTATTGCAAGGACAGAACCAAACACCTCATGTTCTCACTCATAGGTGGAAATTGAACAATGAGAACACTTGGACACAGGGTGGGGAACATCACACTCCAGGGACTGTTGTGGAGTGGGGGGAGGGGGGAGGGATAGCATTAGGAGATATACTTAATGCTAAATGATGAGTTAACGGGTGCAGCACACCAACATGGCACATGTATACATTTGTAACAAACCTGCACATTGTGCACATGTACCCTAAAACTTAATGTATAATAATAATAAAAAAAGAAAGGAAAAAGTATAATAATAAAAAAAATAAAGTTGAGTATTGAAATAATATCTAAAGCAAATCAGATTTATAATTATTCACTTATTTACTAATGTCTGTGTCTAAAAACAGGTAGGTATGTAGATAGGTAAATAGAGACGGAAGAGGAAGACAAGACACACATAGAGCCAGAGAAGGGACAGAAATTCAGAGACAGAGAAAAGCATATTGTTCCATTTGTTCAAGTACAGTATGAATGGGAGAAGAAAAAGGGACTCGTTAATAGAAAACAAGTAAGTTTAACAAGTTTCTATTTTTTAAGCCTACAATCCGAAAATTCTTCTGGTGAAGATCAAATATCCACTCTTCATAAAGAAAACCAAAATCTCTTCCTGTGTGCTAACGTCACCATGTGACAGATGTCAGATATTATAACATTGTTGTCATTGTGCATGTTTACATATAATTCAAGAACCAAAAAGTAAATAAACAAATGAGACCACTGTGCAAGCCCCAGTACAAGAGTAATTCTGTGTTCTGGTTTAGAGTTTGGAAACAGATGTAAACACTTGTAATTATGCATGTTTCAGGCTGCCTCTCATGCACAAGAGCAGTTGCTTTAGTTTTCCTGAAGTGTAGAACAAGAGATTAAGTATGAGTGCATTAATCACAAAATACAATTTTTAGGAAGGTCACTCACTTATGAACTTCTGGTGCCACTCAGAAACAAAATCAAAATGGAAAGTGCTTGAGTCTCTCTCTTCTCTGTTTATGAAATAGCACAATCAGAAGGTAGAAAGGAACACTAGGAGGTGGATTTGCTCTTTGCCTCTGCCACATTTCAGCCATTTGGGGTAGATGACATTTGGGGTTAGTTTACTGATACATAGACATAATATTGGAACAAAGTACCAGGCAACAACCAAAATCAGTCATTAACATGCATGTTGAACACCAACATCTATATTCTCTTTTTCCCTTTGTTGTTGGGCATCGATTTTTAGCTGATCGCAGTAGTTCTTGCTAAACATCCACTTTTCCTATCCTCTCTTAAAGCTAAATATGTCCACGGGACTAAGTCCTGGACAATTTCATGTACATAGACGTATGTCAGACTTCCAGGAAGTCATCTTAAATGTACTTCCTCCATTCCTCATTTCTGCATGAATGAAGTCCTTTTGAGAATGAAAGCCACATGGTAAGAATGGTAGAGTATGTACACCAACAGGAGCCCATGACTGAAAACACGGAGAACACTGAAGCTTTTTTTATCAACCCTGCCTGGCTTACCTCCAAAATTCTTTCATGTGATAGGGAAACAAACTTCTACACCTTATTTAAACCACTTTGTTTGCTTGTTTATTAGCAGCTGAACTAAATTCTATACAAATTACACATTACATGCAATGAATCTGTATGGTGTGCTTATCATTGGCCAGGAACTGTTCTATTTGAGGCCACAATAGTAAATAAGAATGGCCATGTTTAGCTAACAGCCTAGTGCAGAGGTCAGCAAACTAAGACTCATGGACCAAACTAAGACCCACCTTCCACTGACTATTTTTGTAAATAAAAATTTATCAGAAAATTTTTATGCTTATTGTCTGTTGCTGCTTATATGCTGCAAGGACAGAGTGAATAATTATGAAAGAAACCCAATCACCTGCAAGCCAAGAATAAGTACTATCTGCACATCACAGAAAAAGTTTGCTGAACCTGGTCTAGGAGACTTACGGAGACTAAGACAAATAAATAGACATTTATAATAGTATGTGATATATGTAACAGAAAGGGTTCTGGATTCTATATACAAGGCAGTGAATAACCTGTACTTCAGAGACTAGAAAATATTCCTTAGAGATGGCAATAAGATGAATTTGGAATAACGACTAGGAGTTAACCAGATAAATGAGTCAATGGAACATTCTAGGTTATGGAAACTGCATGAGTCCCAAACCTATTTCAAGTGAAATGAACCCTGAAATATGGAAGGATAATGCCAACCGCAGAAGTGGCTATGGTGGAAACCAGGAAAGAGCTAGGTAAAGCTTAGAAAAGCCAATGCCATTATTTACTTATTAGTGGATTTTCACTTTAAACTTAGTTGTCTTTAATTTTGGTTTAAAGCAAGGTTAACATTTATTTTTGGATGCAATAAAATTAGATGCAAAGTGAGTGAGAGTGTTGCAGGGGGTGAGAGAGCAGGTGCAGAACTTGGCCTTGTGGTGACCTTGCCCACTAGTCTTAGTTGCCAAAATTAAGTATGAATTACAAACCCTTGGGTTAGTTGTTAAATTATAGGCTCCAGGACCCACCATTCAGAGACTCTGATTCAATGGTCTGGGCTCAGGCTTAGAAATTAGATATTTAAACAGGTAAAAAAGATCATTTCAATTAAATTGGTCCAGAGGTCATACATCTGAGAAATGGTGCTTTAGTTCAGACCTATTCAGATGAATTTTCTGGGGCACTCGAATCATTCAGAATCTTAGGTGACATCTGTATCTAGTAAATACAAATAGAAGGGTGATATACTTGAATCTTTAGTTAGGAAGATTTTCCTATTGGCTCTGATGTGCAATAAGGTTTCCAAAATGTTGATTGCATAAACTTTGATTTTTCTTGCACAACCCTTAGGCATTCAGGACGCACAATGCACAGGGCACAGGAGCAAGAAGCAGCAGCTCTAAGGCCACCTGATTGAGTATGAGAAGGACAATGATGATAATTTGTAACAATGGCCAATTCATGTCTCTTGCCTGTGCTTCCCTCTTTCCTATCATTTGTCTCATGGATCTCTCACCTATTCCAGGGCTGTTCCTGACTTCACAGCTCACAGAAGAGAATGTGCTCACAGAAGCTATGTAAGTAGCTATGTGCAGAGTCACTGTTTGATTCAAGAGCCACCTTCTTTAAGTTTTGGAGTCACAGTCCTTCCATTTCCAGCTGTGAAGTAATCTTCTGCAATAATAACTGGCATGCATGCAGAATTCAGCCCTTCTAAAAACACCTTAACATACATTATCCCATTTGATCCTGACAAAGGCTCTGCAAAGTAGTTTTGGATTAGGGAATTCATTTTCCAGATGAGGAATGGGAAATTTTGATATCCCTGTAATTTGTCAGAAGAGAAACCTGGGCTTAGAACAAAATATACTGGCTCTAAGTCCACAGCTTAAGTGTTTATGGGTATTTAACATATTCAAGGGGTATCCCATTAAGAAGTGAATCCTTAGAGTAGATGTAACAAAAATACACATGCACAGTAAGATAGCTATTATGCAACAAAAGGTCTTTCTTATTCATTTCTAATATAGCAGTCTTCCCAATATACTTAAAAATTGTTGAGAGTAGATGTCATGCTACGTGTTCTTAACATCAGTTTTTAGAAAAGACTAGATGATGTCCTATCAAATGTTAGTTGACTCTACTACTGAGACTTATCTTCAATGATCTCCTCAACACTAACACTGAAAACTCTATTCTCTATGTCAAGTCATGTTGTTCACAGTGTGTGGTCTGTGTATGCCCTGTCTTATCTTCGAATTGTTCCAATGAATAAGCCAAGTTTTTCTCATTTATAAGTCATTTTCTAGCCCAATAAAAAGAAATTCTTTTAGAGAGCAGAGAAAAGCCCAGAGAGAGACGTGGCCTTAAATGTCTTAAAGTGTTGGAGTAGCACATGAGAGAGGTGAGTTTTAACTAAAGAAAATAAAATTGCAGAGCTTCTAGAGGTCCCATAGCAGCCGGCATGGAGAAACTTACATCAGCTGCAGCTGCTGTTACCAGTGCTGCTGGAATCACAATTACTTATGCTGCTGAAGGCACCCTAATAACCTTGGATCACAGCAACTCTGAAACCATCCATGCCAGAACCACCGATACTTCTGCTGTCCCTAGTAACCTATGGTGGTTCCCTGCAGTTTCTGCCACTGCAAGAACCAGGAACAACTAACTTGTCTTTATCTCACTTTCTAACCTCTGACGTAGTGCATCCCTTTGTTAGATGGTTAGGTAGAACCTAACCAGAAATCAGCTGGCAATGGAGCTTGGAAAATAAGTTTCCCACCTTCCAGTACCCAGTGATAAAAACAACACAGAAGAGCAAATGTGGAGGTTAGTGCCAACAGAAAATTCATGGCAGAAGCTGGTCTATCAAAAGGTTTAAAATCATCATATAGCTCACATGCTAAAAAGAATGAAATGTAAAATAATATATAACATTTGCAGGAAATAGGAGCATGTATATTTAAAAGCTATCTGTTTAAATCTTTAGTTTTTGTACTCGACAGTGTTAATTCTCTATATTATTACATTCCCCATAAAATAATGGTCAAAGGTAAAGCAATTACAATCTATAAATCAAAAATAATATTCTTTTAAAAAAACCATTTAACTATTTTAATTTAAATAAAAAGTTTTCCAAGAAAAAGATATGCACACTGTAAGTATAACTGTGTATATATTCATATATAAATATTATGATTTTATTCAAACATCTTTCTAAATGTATATCTGGGTATTTTGATTTATATATAATCTTCAGAAAGATGTTTGAATGTAGTCATAATTTGGAATTTCAGTTTCAGCTGAATATGTTTACATTTATTGGCCCAGAGGAAGACATATTTATTTTCAGGATATAGAACTATAGGATTCTGAGTATTCATTTCATAAGTTGATTTGCAGTGTATAAGATTTGAAAGGGCTTAGAATCAAAGTTACATGAACATCAAAGAAACATTTTACAGTTTCAATCTGAAATGAGAAATATCTTTCAAATATAAGTATACATTTCTTAATCTCCAGTTACATTACCTAAGTGATTTCCATCTGCATTTACTATGCAGCTCAAACTTGCAGTTTAGCAATGACTTTGAATTATTTACTTGGACTCTATTTGGTGCATAAGGATACGCTTTATCAGGACGTAATTTTTGAGACATCATTTCCTTCAGTTCCGATCACATCTTAAATTGGCATTTGGTTAACCCTTACCAGACATTTTCTAAAAAAGCCACAATTACAAAAACAGAAGTGTAGACCAACAAACATGTTTTGTTTCAATTAAGTTTAGTCAGTACAGTCCCATCTTTACATTAGTTAATGCAAACATGAGCTGCTGTAAGTGAAGAGTAAGGTGAAAATAAACCCCCAAGAAACTTTCTTTTCAGTGGAGAATAGAGGTATGCACTTAAGTGAGTAAAAACAGGAGGATTATGGGAAAATAGTTGAAAAACATATATTTGGCCAATTTTCTTTTCTAGATGACAGAAATTGGAGGACTCTACCTATTAACTTTAATAAAATTAACTAGGCAAAATAACAAAGAAAAAAATACTAGAAAATTCGAATTCACATGATTTATTTATTTAAACAGATATAAGATTCTATTAATGATGCATTTATTCCAGACTAAGAAGCCACAGAATATTTCGGCAATTTCAAGAGACTAATCATGCAGACTTAGCAGAGAGGACATATGGGAACTTTCTGTCATTTCCACGCAATGTTTCTGTAAACTTAAAATATATGGTAAAGCTCAGTTGAGAACAAAAGGAGGAAAAAATAGATGTGCTACCAATGAAGAAGTATCTCATAGGCAGGTGATTCTAAAATTTTAGCCTTATTAAAGTTACCTGCAGGGCATGTGAGACAAATGCTGGGTGGTATCCTTAGAGTTTCTGGGTACTATTTAGTAGGTTAAGCCGATATAACAAGAAATTTTGGATCATCTGATATTTTTACATGTTTTGTTTATTTTTATATTATTTGAAGTATTAAAAGAATGGTGGCACAAAGCTATTATTTTATTAAAATATTTAGGAGAATTCCACTAAGTCAGTAGTCAATAAATATCTAAGAGATGTTTAAAATTTCATTTGGAATTTTTAATTTATTAATTGTGTAAATAGTCTTAAAATGTTTAGAGAAAACATCTTAGTAGTTCTTTATACTTAATAAACTGAGCATTATACAAAGCATAGGTAGAAGTAATAGATTCATGTGCAAACACAAATTGACACAAATGTTTTAGATGACAAATGCAGTAATCTAAAACATTCTGAATTTATGCCATAATTTTGGAAAACACCTACACTTCTGTTTCTTTTCTATCTTTTATAATAGATTTCTTCCACAAAAGAAAGCACAATCAATACACAAATTATAGCTCCATGGACTAAGTATATAGGAGAAAAAAAAATCTTTGTGGCTCACTCTTGCCTACATAGAATTGCCCAACTGGGACAACCAATGACCTTACCCCAACCTCTCTAATAAGGAAGACTGATGACTCCTGAGATTGTGTTTCGTACTTTCCCCCCATCATTTCCCATAGCAACTGACCTTTCTCCCATCTCCCCACTCATCTTAGGGCCCAGATAGTCTGTTTATGATAATAACTAGTTAATCTAGAAAATGAATACATATTAATAAACAAATATGAGAGAAAAAATGATATTCCCTCCTTTCCAAGTAATATAAATTTATTTTAATAGTAATTACTAAGAGAAAATGTAAATAGTGTCCTTACCTTTGATATACCTTGGAAGTGATTATAGTTATGAAAATTAATCATACTCAAATTACATTAGATTCTAAAGCAAAAATAATAAATATATTGCACTTGTACTCAATTACTACCTTATCTTATACCTGCAAAAGTCATTTATAAGGAAGTAAATCACTCCTATGATTTTTCTTGATAGTGTCACTACAAATAAATCACAACTACAAAATTAGATAAACCATATGTCGCCTCAAGCCTAGAGTAACAAATTTGTTGACAAGATCAAATATAGACTTACAGATGACTTCTGAATAATCATTTGAGTGGAAGATGTGTCAACAAATGTCCATATGAATCATTGTTTCCTTTTTCATAAAAGGTAATCAATGAGTTAGTTATCTAGGTGAACAATAAAACATGCCAAAAACTTAATGGCTTAAAATAACAAACATTTATTATTTTTCATGAGTGTATGGGTAGTTCTGCTAATCTAGGCCCAGACTCAGATAACTTCTCTGGGATCACTAATCTGTCTGTATTCAACTAGCTGGTCCAGATAGCCTCCTCCGCTGGGCAACCCAGCTCTGCTCCATTGGTCTCCCATCCTCCAGTTGGCTATCCTGGGCTTGTTGTCATTATGAGGCAGAATTCCAGGGAACCGTGCTAGTACTCAAGTCTTCTTGAGGCGTAGGAATAGATCTGTCATATTGACACTTCAGCCACATTCTGTTGGTCAAAGCACAATTTTTACACCCAGATTTAGGAATAAAACAGAGAGTACCCCTTAATTAAAGAAGCTGTAAAAATATAATGCAGGGCCGGGCACGGTGACTCACGCCTGTAATCTCAGCACTTTCGGAGGCCGAGGCGGGTGGATCACGAGGTCAGGAGATTGAGACCATTCTGGCTAAAACGGTGAAACCCCATCTCCACTAAAAATACAATAAATCAGCCAGGCTTGGTGCCGGGGGCCTGTAGTCTCAGCTACTCGGCAGGCCGAGGCAGGAGAATCGCT
The DNA here is from genome assembly GCF_000001405.40 of Homo sapiens. NCBI lineage: Eukaryota > Metazoa > Chordata > Mammalia > Primates > Hominidae > Homo > Homo sapiens. The sequence goes on along the minus strand of NC_000003.12, from coordinate 89,543,008 downwards.
TGAACCTGGGAGGCAGAGGTTGTAGTGAGCCGAGATCATGACACTGCACTCCAGTCTGGGAGACAGAGACTCTGTCTCAAAAAAAAAAAAAAAAAAGGAAAAAGACACAGAAAAAGAAAAAATATATATATAATGCAAAAGGTACGCATAAAGGGAGGAGTAGTGAATTAAGCCATTTTTGCAATCAATCTACTATAGTAATTTTCTCCAAACATACACATAAGTCACAAGTATAATTTCAGAATAAATTATTAAATGGATCTTGAAATACACGAGACAGATCTGAATTTCAAAATGGCTTTAAACCAGATCATTTATATAATATGTGAGGAAAAGATGGCAGCAAGTAGCTTTGAGTTGAGACTATAGATTTGTAATAAATGAAATAGGAATATACAAACATGCCTATTTATAAAATAATGTCAACTTAAGGAAACATTTCCAGTGGCAGAGCATAAGGCTTTTTTCTCAGTCCTGTTCTGTTTAACTCTTATCACCGCTTATGAAAATATGATTATTTAAATAAAAGTTGATATGAAGCTGCAAGGGATAGTATTTTGGATGACAATATTAGCATGTAAAAAAGGCCTCAACAAGGTGAAACTAAATCAAATGCAGCAAATCTCCTTGTAGATAAACTAAGGGACAGCAATAAAATCCAATTCCAAAATGAACAATTACAGACTGGTTTAGCTGGTTAAGCATCTTAAGGGTTTCTAGATAACAGTAACTTCAATAATAATCAACAGTGTATATAACTTACATTAAAAAATCTTTGAATATAGGTTACGTTATATAAGAAAAGCATATATTCTAGAATAAAATACATTTTTTCTGTACCTCAATGCTCACTTTGAATTCACCCTATAATTAAGCTCTTGAATAATATAGTTATCATTAGTTTTAACACTATTTTTGTTATTGAATTTCAGTCAATTTTTCAGTGTCATTGAAAATTAGTTACTTGAGGCATAAAAATTCTCATTAATTAGTAAGGGGCATTAAAAATTGGTAATATACTGATGCAAATAGAAGATATTGCATGTTTCACTTGCTCTTATTATAAAAACATTAGGAATGATAGCAAATACTTATAGTATCTGTATTAGTCAGGGTTCTCTAGAGAGACAGAATTAATAATAGGATATATATTCTATTATTATATATACTAATATATAGTATATATATAGGATATCCTACATATATCCTACATATATCTTATTGTTATATATATACTAATATATAGTATATATAGGATATATATGATATCCTATATATATAATCCTATATATATATCCTATTATTAGTTCTGTCTCTCTCAAGATAGAGTGTGTATATATATATATATATATACATATATATGTCCTATTATTAGTTCTGTATATATAGAGATCTTATATATATATATTCTCTCCTTAAATATATATATAAAGGGAATATATATATATATAAAGGGAATATATATATAAAGAGAATATATATATAGAGAATATATATATATAAAGAGAATAGATATATATAAAGAGAATATATATATATATATATATATGGAGAGAATATATATATATATATATATATATATATATATATATATGGAGAGAATATATATATATATAAAGGGGAGTTTATTAAGGATTAACTCACATGATCACAAGGTCCCGCAATAGGCTGTCTGCAAGCTGAGGAGCAAGGAAAGCCAAGTCTGAGTTCCAAAACTGAATAACTTGGCTGGGCGCGGTGGCTCACGCCTGTAATCCCAGCACTCTGGGAGGCTGAGGTGGGTGGATCACGAGGTAGGGGGAATGAGACGATCCTGGCTAACATGGTGAAACCCCATCTCTACTAAAAATGCAAAAAAATTAGCCGGGCTTAGTGGTGGGCGCCTGCAGTCCCAGCTACTCGGGAGGCTGAGGCAGGAGAATGGCGTGAACCTGGGAGGCAGAGCTTGCAGTAAGCCGAGATCGTGCCACTGCACTCCAGCCTGGGTGACAGATTGAGACTCCATCTCAAAAAAAAAAAAAAAAAAAAAAAAAAAAGAAAGAAAAGAAAAAAAAAAAAAACGAATAACTTGGAGTCTGATGTTCAGTCAAGAAGCACCCAGCATGGGAGAAAGATGTAGTCTGGGAGGCTAGCACAGTCTAGTCTTTTCATGCTTTTCTGCCTGATTTATATTCTAGCTGTGCTGGCAGGTGATTAGATGGTGCCCACCCAGATTATGGGTGGGTCTGCCTTTCCCAGCCCACTGACTCAAATGTTAATCTCCTTTAGCAATGCCCAGGATCAATCCTTAGCATCCTTCAATCCAATCAAGTTGACACAGTATTAACCAACACAGTGTCAGAAATACAAACAAGGAAAAATAATATAAGCTCTGAACTGTTAATACAGACATTAAATTTTAAAAATTACTATGGACCACAAATTTTAAAATATAAAAACTGATGATAAAAGGTCAAATATGTACTCAAAGGAAAATACATGGAAGTATTATTTATTATTTAAAAGAAAGGGATAGACTTCTGGCTTCTGCTTAGGGTATAGGAAGCTGGAAAAAATGTAACTCCCACTCTCACAAAAGGAGAAATCATTATAATCTGTAAAATGATTACTGTTTCTGAACCCATCAGATTCAAAATTTTGAGGTAATCTCTTTAGACAATTCCAAAGACTTGAGGAGAAATAGGACCATTTAGAAGTGACCTTCAGCCCCAGAATGAGAATAGTCTCAATCCCTGAGACCCAGGAATACAGGGTTTGCCAACCATTGAGACTAAACTAGGACAGCAGAAGAAACCCCCTGTCTCTCAATAGAGGATAGCAAGTACCAAGTATCAAGCAACAGCAGTCTATTTCTTATGAAAAGACAAGAACGCAAACAAACGCTTTATGAGACATACACATAAAGGGAAATCCTGAACCTGAGAGTGAAGAAGACTTAGAAGAAAACTTTGTGGCCAAATATGCACATATAAGAAATTCTAGGATGGGTGCAATGGCTCACACCTGTAATCACAGCACTTTGGGAGGGTGAGGTTGGAGGATTACTTGAGGCCAGGAGTTCGAGACTACCCTGGGCATCATGACAAGACCTCATCTCTACAAAAAGTAAACAAAATTAGCCAGGTTTCATGGCATGTGCCTGTAGTCCCAGCTACTTGGGAGCATGAGGCGTGATGATCACTTGAGCCCTGGAGGTTGAGACATCAGTGAGCAGTGATGGCATCACTGCACTCCAGCCTGAGCAATGGAACAAGACCCTGTCAAAAAAATAAAAGAAAAAATCTAAAGGAATTTGAAGCCAATGGCAAATTGCAGGTAACTATAGCAACAGCAAAACCCAAATCCTGATAAACTTTGAATAACATTGACCTAAGTCTAAAACTATCAGCCAAGAATATGGAGCCTAGAATACCACTGTGAACATTTTAAATGTACTTAAAAATAATACACATTATGGATATGGGATATTCACAATGTTAAGTCATATTCTGGGCCCCCCAAAAACTAAATCTGAGCAAATTAAATAAATGTAAATCAAATAAGATTAGACTTTAACTAAAGTGCAATTATTTTAGAAATTACTAACTGAGATATCTGAAAACTCCTCAAATGTTTGTAAATTAAACAGCACACTCCTAAATGCCTCATGGGTTAAAGAAGTAAAAGAAAAATGGTAAGATATTTTGTATTGAATGGAAATAAAAATACTGGATCTCAACATTGTGATATTCTGCTAAAAATACTTAGGGGAAAATTTATAGCATTAACACTAATATTAGAAGAGAAAAATAGTCTCAAATCAGTAATCTAAATCTTTTTTTGGAAATAAAGAGAAGAATAAATTAAATTCAAAGAAAGCAGGGAGAATAAGTATCATAAGAAAATAAGTAAAATTAAAATATACAATAAAAAAAGAAACAAAAAGATGGTTCTGTAGGTGCAAAAACTTTTAATTCTTAGGGTATCTGGCTGGGCCTGATAATTTGGCATAAGACAGATTAACATACGAAAAGCATACAAATTTATATAAAATTTATGTGACACAGGAGCCACTATAAGGAAATAAAGACACAAAAAACTGGTGAAACATAAATACCTTTATTCTAAGTTGAACAAAGAGAGGCAGTTTTTGAAAAGTAACTAAACTATAGGGGAGGTTAAAAGAAGATACTAATTGTTTTAACAAGGTCTCATTGTTCAGAATTCTCTTGGCTATGATTCCCCACCGAAGAATGTTTCTTTTCTCCTGGTACAGGAAGGACATCTTTAACATGGGAGTTTTTATCTTCTGTTTTCAGGAAGAAACGTGAGAGATGAATGCCTGCTTACATTTGCTGTTTTTGAAGTGCTTTTAGCTCAAAATAATCCTTATACCAAAGTGGCACATTTTAGAGTGGCATAGTCTGCTCCCACTTCAAGTCTTTGAAAGTATCAATAAAATTGATAAAACTGTAGCCTAGCAGCTCAAGGGGAAAAAAAAAGACAAGAAGCAAATTAGCAGCAGCAGCAAAGAAAGAAGAGATATCCATAAAAGCCCTAAGAAAATTGAACTATAAAAAAGGATATCATAAACAACTTTATGCTCTTAAGTTCAGCAACTTCAGTGAAATGGACAAATCCTTGAAAGACAACCAAAGTTCACCCATGAAGCAATGACTTGAATGGCCCCATAACTCTTTATAAATTAATATTTAGTTGAAAAATATCACAGAGAAATTTTCAGGATCAAATAGCTCTACAGGTAAATTTTATCACACATTTAAGCAAGAAAAAAATATCATTTCTGAAAAAAAACTCTTCTAGAAAATAGAAGAGGAAACACTTTCCAGCTCATTTTTGTCATGAAGCTAGCATAATCTGATAATAAAAGCAAAGGCACTGCAATAAAACAAACTATGAAACATAATCCCTCATGAATATAGATGCAAAACTCCTCCATTAAAAATATCAGTAAATAGAATCTAGCAATATATCAAAAGGTTAATACATCAGAAACAAGAGGAATTTATCCCAGAAATGAAAATCTAGTACAACTTTCATACTTCAATCAAACTAATTCACCATATCAACAGGAGGAAAAAAAAAGTAATCATCTCAATAGATGGAGAAAAAGCATTTGGCAAAATTCAACAACTACAAGTGATGAAATATCTCAGCAAACCAGGAACAGAAAGCTTTTATATATTGATGAATGCCTGCAGCAAACACTGAAATAGTAAGTACTTCTCTTTAATATCAAGAACAAGGCATGATGTCACTATCATTATTTCTGTTCAGCATCACACCTAATATCTTTTTCTGTGCATAAGGCAGGAAAAAAATAAATAAAAGTCATTTGACTTGGAAAGAATGAATTAAGATAATCTCTATTCAAAGAGTACCTTATGATCTATACAGAAAATCCCAATAAATAAATAAAGGCAAGGAGAAGAGAAACATGGAATAGAAGACAAGAAGAGAGATAAATTATGTGAGATAATTATTTGATTAAATATTTTATGAAAAGAAAAACATAAAGATAGCAATTATAGAAAAATTGTAGATTTAAATGCAAAATATGCATTAAAAAATATATAGACAGAATAATTTATTAAGAAACCTGAAATCTATTTGGGAGGCTGAGATGGGAAGATCACAAGTTCAAGAAATCGAGACCAGCCGGGTGTGGTGGCTCACGCCTGTAATCCCAGCACTTCGGGAGTCCAAGGTGGGCAGATCGCTAGGTCAGGAGATCGAGACCATCCTGGCTAACATGGTGAAACCCCGTCTCTACTAAAAATACAAAAAATTAGCTGGGTGTGGTGGCGGGCACCTGTAGTCCCAGCTACCTGGGAGGCTGAGGCAAGAGAATGGCTTGAACCTGGGAGGTGGAGCTTGCAGTGAGCCAAGATTGCGCCACTGCACTCCGGCTTGGGTGACAGATTGAGACTCCATCTCAAAAAAAAAAAAAAAAAAGGGGGGATCGAGACCATCCTGGCCAACATGGTGAAATCCCGTTTCTACTAAAAGTACAAAAAAATTATCTGGGTGTGGTGGCGCACGCCGGTAGTCCTAGGTACTCTAGAGTCTGAGGCATGAGAATCGCTTGAACCCCGGAGGCAGAGGTTGCAGTGAGCCGAGATCGCGCCACTGCATACTCCAGCCTGGCAACAGAGTGAGACTCCACCTCAAAAAAAAAAAAAAAAGAAAAGAAAAGAAAAAGAAAAAAGGAAAAAGAAAGAAATCTGAAAGCTAGATTACAAATGCATATTCACAGAAACCCCACAGATAGATCAATCATAGGCAAAACAAACCAAGAAATAAAATTAAACACATATATTTGTGAAAGGTGATATAATGAAAGAGAATAAAATAAATACATATAAATAATATACATAATTATTCAATTTAATAATACTAGCAAAATTAATGATTTCTATGTCAAGCAAAATGTTTGAGAATTGGATTAACAAAATTTAAAAAGAATAATGAAAAACAAGAAACAATCAGAGAAGATCTATTGGGTATTATCTTGGGCTCAGGAAGTTTTACTAATAATTTGTCTCCAGCTTTAAAAAGCAGATCTTCAGTATTAATTGTTCTTCAGTATAGAAAAAAAAATAGTAAACTAAATGAATACAAAACCTCACTAGCTCTTTCTATAAAAGCCTAAAATTTGAACATCTCCAAATATAAGCTAATATAAAGAGAGTAAGCAAACAAAAATAAATAATCAGAAACAACTTATTTTGGATTCTTTGTACAACTGTAGTTGTTCTCTCTTTCCACCTATCTACATATTCTGTGTTCATTGTAATTCTTTTAGAAATATTGGCCAGGCACGGTGGCTTACGCCTGTAATCCTAGCACTTTGGGAGACCACTTGAGGTCAGGACTTTGAGACCAGCCTGGTCAACATGGCAAAACCCCCTCTCTACTAAAAATACAAAAAAAAAAAAAAAAAAAAAAATTACCCAGGCGTGGTGGCCCGTGCCTGTAGTCTCAGCTATTCGGGAAGCTGAGGCAGGAGAATTGCTTCAACCCAGGGGGTGGAGGTTGCAGTGAGCTGAGATCGTGCCACTGCACTCCAGCGCGAGTGACAGAGCAAGATTCTGTTTCAAAAAAAAAAAAAAAAAAAAAAAATCCTCAGCAATTGTGGCACATGACCCAGGATTGATCAGTACTTATTAGTCCAGTTCATTAGATACAATAACCATCTAACTTAAGCAAGAACCATGCAAGTTCTTTCCTGATTTATTGAGTGTGCTTTGAATAGAGAAGTTCTCTTTCCACTGGGGTTTCTTAGATGGAAGGATGTGGGGCTCAGGGCATTGGTGGTTAATTATGGAGTTTTCCTCATAGCTGAATTAAGCAAACTGCAACAGAGAAGGAGGTAAAGCCAAATGATAGAGAGAATAGATAGAGCCTTGATGAGCCCCTGGAGCCAGTGTCATGCAACTTCAGCCAAGTTATGCATTTCAGCTGGTTTTAAGCTGTTTAATTTAGCTTAAAATTTACTTTTGTAATATTTCAATCTTAAGTATCTCATCATAACCTATATATAAGTAATAAAAAATGCTTATTAAATTTTGAATGTTGCTTTACATTTATATCAAAATTTACACTTAATTTACATTTGCATTAGTTAAAACGTTAAAATATGAATACAGTTTGTGTGGTATGATCATGAGTCTTTTTCCCCACATTTCCTTACTTTTATATTGTTTTAAATTTAAATTTTTCGTATATTGAAATTAAGAAAAAATCATGCACAGAATCAACAGCAGGTTGACCTATAAATTTAATTTAATTTTTAAATACATGAACATCTGCATGAACTCAAACTATATTTTCTGTGTGTGAAATTGTCTTTCATTACAACGATTTCAATAAAACCATTATGCTAACTCCTTTCCTAATGAACCACAGGTTTAATTCTATCTTGTACAATAACTCAATAGCTTGTAGTCACAACAATGCCACTGTTAATTATTGTCATATTTTGATTCCTCTTTTTTAATATATTATCAAGAATAAGATTGCTAATTTCCATAGTTTAGTTGATGTGTCATGGCTTTTGATTCTTAGTCAGTTTTATGCACAATTCAGTTACTCAGCTATTCAGAACTAAAAAGTGTACATACCCCACTTCATTGAATTACTCTACATCCTCAGGTTTTATCCAAGATTAACACAAAGAACAGCTATATGGAGAATTATTGTATACTTTCAGTAAAATGTATTAGTTAATTTATTTCTAAAAGTTGTCATTTGTGTTACTAAATGGCCCATTGTGACAAGTATCTTTAAAATGTAGGGTATTTTTCACTGAAGTTCATTTTGATATTTGCATCTTGGCTACTAAATATCATTTCAAACATTAGATGTTTCTTGCCACCCTAAATCCTTTTAGTGCTTCTAATCTACTATTAGGCAGGAAAGAAGTGCTTTTGTTTTTTCTGTCACGATCATGTTTCATTTTAAAATTGTAAAATTTATGCTCAAATATGAACTCATAAGCCTCTTTTCTTGTTACTGTAGTACCATTATAAATTATTTAGTACTCAGTTTAGTTTGCTCGGTGCTTTAAAATCCCTCAATATTCAAAAACAAAAGATTAAAACATTATATTGTAGTCATTAATAAGTAAATTGTTCCCAGCGGAGAATCATATAAAATACAGTTAAGCAAATCACCTGTTTCATTATCAGAGGATGACTGTTCTTAATGTGTATGCAAATAATCTTTCTCTTGTATTTTGTATTTATTCATATGCACTTAGAGTTCATATATGTACATACAGAGATAGATTATTTATATAATCTTTTAGTCATTTATATACTCTCTTAGTCAATTTTTTTACTTTCATACTATTCTTTAATCATAAATATGATATGTTAAAATAACCCTTGGCATATGTCTTAATTACATGTTAAGGAGAATTTAGCACAAGTCAATTTTTTCAAATCGGGAAAAACTTCAATTTATGGCACTCTCCATACATAATTAACAACGTTAACAGATAAATTTGTTGTGGGAACTTTCAATATACTACAGGTTTACACTGTTATTTCTGTCAAGCTACATTAATGTCTTTCCTATAAATTTAGCACCTTTATTAGTCTATAATTATTTCAGAAAAAAACAGCAATTTAGTCAAATTCACATGAGAATGTTTTGCATTTTTTTTTCTAAAGTCATCAGTTTCAAGTGGACAATACTGCAGCTTTTTCTAGTTTCAGAGAAGAATTTCCTTTAATATTGGTGCCATTCTCAAGACAAATTTCTTTCCATATCCTGGCCCAAATAAATGAAAATTTTATTTTGTAGTTCTTCTATCCCTGCCTTTTCTCCTCAAAAAACTTTCCGATAAGCTAATATTTGGCAGCTATATTTCTTAGAATGAAACTTTTAAATAAGTCCACCCTCCTAATTAGTGCATAACCAGCCCCCTATTCTGCCCAGTGTGCAGCTGACAAGAAACAGAACAATTTGACAGCAATGTGTGTGGTGGCCAGTGGTTCTGTGGAAAATTGGAGGAGAGGGAAGCTGAGTCTGTACTGTCTAGCAAGTGATTTTACATCAGCCAGTTTTTCTTAATAAAGGGAAATTTAAACCACAAATAGGATGATCAAAAATGTGGCTTTTATAATAAGTGCTATTGTCATTATCTCACTCTTTTGGCTTCCTAAGATAGACCACACAAGTTTCATAGACAGGCTATTGTGAGAATCAACAGCCGATTGTGTACAGCACAGCACAGATATCATGAAAGGTTTTGGATAAGGCCGCTTTCTATTTCTTCCAAGTTGAAAAACTTTGCTAAATATGTGTGATTAAGACTAAATCTCATTCAAATCCATACTGTTTCTCTCTCACATCTTCTTAATGCCTTGAAAAGCTCTAAATTTGTAGTAAAATGGAAAGCATAGCATTTTCACTATCTAACTCAAAAGATTTTTGTGAAAAGTGGTAAAATATGAAAAATAATTAACTTTAAACATGTACTTAGAGTATTATTATTCAATTATAGACAGTCACCAGCCCATCTTATTGGAAACTTCAGTACTAGATTTACTAATTCTGCATCATTTTAGTCTTTTTTCTGTCTTATCCGAACATGTAACCATGGAATGGTATCTTTGTTTCTGTTTATTTTTAATAAAATATTTTATTTCTCAGGAATATCTATAATTAATATTTGGTTATTAATTTAATAAGTGAAAGTGTCTCTATACATATTTTAGGATGAATTTTTGTGTCTATCCTCTTTGCCTTAGTTTTATATTAGTCTTTTCTCAGGTGCTATACTATGCAATATTTACATTTTGTTGTATAGGAAGCTTAAATTCACTCCTAATCTCTTGCCTTACGTAAAGTAAGTAACTGTTTTTTGTTTTTGTTTTTGTTTTTGTTTTGAGATGGAGTTTTGCTCTTGTTGTCCAGGCTGGAGTGCAATGATGCCATCTCAGCTCTCTACAACCTCTACCTCCCAGGTTCTAGCCATTCTCCTGCCTCAGCCTCTCGGGTAGCTGGGATTACAGGCATGTGACACCATGCCCAGCTAATTTTGTATTTTTAGTAGAGACAAGGTTTCTCCATGTTGGTCAGGCTGGTCTCCAACACCCGACCTCAGGTGATCTGCCTACTTAGGCCTCCCAAAGTTCTGGGATTACAGGCATGAGCCACTGTGCCGGGCCAGTAAGTAACTGCTTACACAGAGAGTTTTTAATGGGTGTTAGGATGTTCCTGCAACCAAAAACTGACCTTTTTCCCATGTAACTTATGCTTGAAAATTATTAATTTAGGTTAAATAGTCCCCTAGTGAAAGGATACTAAAAGTCACTATAAAACCAGATTTATTCGGAGCAAGTTTTGATAAAGATGGGAGGAAAGACCAAAGATCCTGAGTCCCAAGAAGTTGGGAGAAGTAAATGGTGCACCCAGTAAAGCTTTATACGCTAAAGTTTGAAAAAATAGAACTAAAATTAGAAGTTGTATGTAGTTATCAATAGATGGAGTGCTTTTTTAATAGAATATGAAGGGGGGAAACAGGGAGGTGGGAAATCAAGGCAGTTAAAACGCACAGTAAAATGACTGTTTTTCAAATTCCATTATTTTTCATTCAATGTGCGCAGATTTAAGTAATAACATTGACGGTCTTATTTTATTTATTTGTTTATTTTTATTTCATTTATTTATATATATTTTTTGAGACAGAGTCTTACTCTGTCACCCTAGCTGGAGTGCAGTGGTGCAATCTTGGCTCACTGCAACTTCCACCACCCCATGGTTCAAGCGATTCTCCTGCCTCAGCCTCCCAAGTAGCTGGGACTAGAGGCATGCACCACCATCCTGGCTAATTTTTGTATTTCAGGAGACACGGGTTTTCACCATGTTGGCCAGGCTGGTCTCGAACTCCTGACCTCAAGTGATCTGCCCGCCTCCGCCTCTCAAAGTGCTGGGATTACAGGTGTGAGCCACCGCCATGCCTGGCCAGTAACGTTAATGATTTTTATGCGACAAAATTAAGAGACAGATGATAGCGCCAAGCTGATAAATATGTCTTTTTGCAGCATTTCTGCTCTTCACGTCGTTTTATTTTCCTTGTTATCTCTAATCAAATAGAATCAAAGAAGTTTTTGTTCTAGTTGAATGTTTCAGTTTCCAAAATAGCATTAAAATCCATCATTTTCTGTAAATTACTTAATGAAGTAAAAATGCAGATTTGTTTGTCTTAATGTCTTAAATGAATTTGAAAGTAATATGAATGGATTTTCAGCATGTCAAATCAACTCAGTCTGGAACAGCATACTGTAACAACTGAAAGGAAAGTTCTTTTGAATCTTATTCATACTTAAAATAGAGTAATAGGACTTTCAGATTTAAAAAAGTTTGCAAACCATTACAAGATAGAAAGGAAAATAGACTTTTAATTTAAGCGTATTACTGTATCTCAACCAATGGAAGAGTATATGCTAAAAAGAGTTTTTAAATCCAATTCAGTTAATTAAATGTTCATATAATTTTATTAAGGATTAACTTTTTAATATAAATGACTACTTAAACCAAACTTGGTAAACTAGAAAAGTAGACTTTAAATCTGTACTCTTAAAATGCCTAAAATCACTTATGTATAGTGTGTAATGAAACTCACTGTTTCTTCTTCCTTCACGATAATTTTTCACAATTGTTTAGAGTCTGCTTATTATATGACTTAACAAAACGTAATTTTTCCCTGACCACCCCAATCCTCAATGTTCTCACCTTGTTATTATTCCTTTTGCATGTATTATAAGTTTCCTTATATTTATTGTTATATTCTAATGGATTTATGACTGAACTATTGCATTGTACTGAAGGTCTTTCAAGATCAAGAATACTGCTGTGTCCTTTTCATAACACGTGGCTTGTTTTTCTCCTTCTACGGTTGATATCCAAAATGGTTTATTATTGATAATACTTGAGAAAATATTAACCAAGTTGAGAATTTAAGGAGGTTTAAATGTAGAGCAAATCATCACTAATGAGTTTGTTTAAAAACTGAATTTAACCTTGATAGAAAGCTGCCTTGAAATAAATACAGAATGTTGTTAGTAATCTGCTTACTATTGTTTGAGGGTATTTATTTCTTCCAGAGATTATCATTTTTATGATAAGAAAAGTAAAATATGATTTATACCTGTTTTCTTTAAATGTTAATTAAATAAGGTCTGCAATAAACTAGAAGAGTATGTACTCTAACTTAATAGAGTACAGTTGATATCATAGGGCAGATAGTAAAAGAAGAAATCAAGTATAGATGGGCGGACACAGTTTGCTATTTTACACTGAGTTGATTTGACATCATGACTGCTAAATGAGGCCAGTTGCTTATACAAATAAGTTCATCAGTAAACAAAATCTTTTTGTGCAGAAATATCTGAAGATCAAGGAAGTGGCTTTTTTCTGAACTGGAAAAAAGATACTTCTTTCAGAAAAGTGGTCAGAGCAGGCAAATTCATGATAAACGAGAGATGTACACTGTGTTCTTGAAGTCGTGTTAGGGAGAAGTAGAGTTGTAACTGTGATAGGGCATGTAGCACACAAATAATTGATGAGATAGTGTAGTGAAATTAAACAAACGTCTTCTGGGAATCATAAAAATTTCATTGGAAAAGCTAAAACACAAGTTCGTTTTGTTTTGTATTCGATACTTGGAATCTAACATCTGTGAAATTGTCAGAACTGGTATTGCATTGGTAAACTTTGGAAGAGTTAGTAAATTCTCTCCTGAAACAGGTGAAGAACATCCTGATTAGTTGCAGTAGTGTCTGATGACAACTCAAGATGACTGAGTGCAAATTTATTGTAAGAATGTGTTTATTATTTTAAAACATCTTTTTGTAAGCCATGAATTATCTTTCAAATTCAAATGTCGTGGTAATGTAAATTAATATTTCTGCTTAACGGATTTAATAGAGAGCTCTATAGAAACAATAAATGATTTTGAAAACCTTCTATTTGATATGGAGATCTACGCTTATGAATGCCATAGATATTGAGCTTTAAGGATATAAATTACAAGCATCACTTACCATGAGGTAGGAATAATCATGATAATAGGTACATTTTCTGAAGGGATTACTTAAGGGCAGTGAGAACTTCCTCTGCACTAACAACTGAGACTCTGAGTTGTTTTTTTTTTAAGTTAGTGGCAGAAACATTATAGATTTGAGTCTACAGATGTCAGGCTCCAAAAGGTATGTAAATTTTAAGATTATTACCTAGGAAAGAAAACAGCAATCTCTAGGACATAAGCCTTTTAAATGTCAACATAAAAAGTGTCATGAAATGTTTGAGTAGGATTTACATAAGCAGAGGAGAGAAAGAAGGCAACTTCAATGAGAGTAATATCTGGTAATGCTCAGAATGTGATAGCCATAAATTAGCTAATAAGTGATTTAAACTTTTTTTTAAACCTGTGGAATTATATATGATGTCCTTTTTTTCCTTTTGTTCTTAAAGGAGACAGAGCTTACATTTTTACAGTGCATTCACTGGCTTATCTTTCTAGTATTTTTCAGGTGCTCATAATTCCTCACCCTTCCCTGCTATTGCTCTAGCTCTGACTTGAAGAAGGAAAAAAAAAAATGGAACTAAATGAAATTCAACTCTTTCAGTGGCCCGTTATTCCCCCAGCATTGCTGCTGTTTCAAAAATCTGCTTCTGTACCACTACTGAAGACTAGGAATTAGCAGACTGGAAAGGTGATCAGATCACCACCAACCATGAAGGAGTTTTCTACAGTGGGGATGAGGCCAAGAAAAGACACCGGGGAGAGGAAAGCGAGCACTTATATCAAAGGACCCCAAAGCTGAAAATACAAGTCTGCAAAACTTAGAAAAAGAGTAGTCTTCAGAGAGTCAGGGAACTATCGATGAAAGCAGGCTGTTGATAGGTGAACAAAGGATGCCTTTGTTTGAACACTGGCTAATTAAGTCTTGCAATTACTACAAAGAGATTTCTTTTGTGTAGAGGAGAGAGACTTATAAGAGTGATGCACAAGTTCAGATTGAAAATACTTATTCATATTCTTTGGGGGAAGGGCCATTTGCCTACTAAACAAAACCAATGCCGCCCATTTTTCGCTTTGAGCAAGCATGGGGAGAGTGGGAAGAGGCAGGCTTCTAAAGTAGGTGAAATTGTTGGACATGAAAAGTGCCTTTGACTCACAGTTTCAATGGATTTAACCTTTATTAAATATAGAACCCCTATCAAAATAGCTATAAGCTGAGAGAATTGCTTCCAATACACACTCCTTTTCTTAGTAGTCATAGAAAAAACAAAGCTTGATAAGCTCTTGGGGCTGGAGTATTCTTCTCCCATATGGGAGTTATTATTTCCAGTTCAGTGTGTCTCAAAGTAGGGGTCAGGTCTCTCAGAGGCCATAGGGGTCTGAGAGGGTTAACACAGAACAGAGCTACAGAACTCTGAAGTGATCAGTGTTGATGATGGTAGTGAACTCTGAGCTATGTAAACCAGATGAAAGGCCTCTACTTACCATCCCTAGGCTTCAGTTGTCTCCTAGCAAATATTCAAATATGTTCCGTCTCCAAGAGGGGGCTCCAAACTGCTATTTGATGGCTACAAAGAAAAGTTTATGAAAATCAAAGGATGCTTCTAGCCAGCACCAGAACCTGTAAGCAGTAGAGCAAAGAGGAAAGACATTGACTTAGAACAGTTCTAAATTTGTAAAGGAAGTTAGCAAACCTCTATGGAGACACAAACCAAAGCCTCAGGTGCTCCAAATATTCTGGCCCCAGAAAATGCAGACTTCATCCTTTTTGTTGGCTCTTGCAGTCTACCCCAAAACATTACCTTTCAGAGCAGTAACCTCATCTTAGAAGTGTCTCAGGAATCCATGGAGTAAGTAAAGAGATTTTGTTCTTAACCACCTAATTACTGTCTATTTCCTGAGCTCTTTCTCATGCTCTTATAATCAGTGACAAATGAGCAAACCTAGATGTGGGATAGAGATTTTGATGATCATTACAATCAGACCTTTCATCATTCACAAACTTAACTCACAGACTAGCAAAGGGCTCCCTTCTTTTTCCAGCCTGTTGACACCTATAGTAATTATTCCCAGGAAGATAACTCTCTGAGGCACTATTTCTCTTCTCCTTAACTGAACAAGTACCAGCTTACACACTACCAGCGTTGATGAGCAGTGACGCCTTCCTGTCAGGCAGGTAATTTATTGGCAGAAAATGCCACAGACACTTTAGTTTCCATCTTTCAAAATTTCGCATGCAAATGAGGCTCAGTAATTAGTGCTGACCTTCCAGTATTACAAGTTGTCAATCAACTGTGCATCAGATTCAAAGACTCTCTGCCTTATTTTATGCAAAACACGGGCATGTGAAGCATCCCTGGAGCAATACATATGTAAGAGGGCATTGTCTTAAAAATTAGCCTACTGAAAGAATTCAAGGATCTACTCATGGAAGAACAACATGCTTAACTTTTAAAAAGCAGTATTTTTCAAAGCACTCTTCAGGAAACACTTGTGTCAGTATTATCATGATGTTTGTACAAGTTCAGATTCTGAAGCCATACTCAGGCCTACTAAACAAGAATAACTGCATATGAGACAGCTGAATCTGCATTTTATACAAGCATCTTGCAAAAAATCCCTAACACTAAAGTTTGAGAGTGATTAGTAGAGGCATGCATTCGTAATGGCAAGGCCAGAGAGCACTTTTCCCTGTCACTAAATCCAATAAACATTATTACATATCATTTATGCGAGATGTCACTATGTTTATTAACACATGAGCAAGGTATGGCACTTGCTCTCAAGGATTGGTTTATCAACCTAAGGAACATACTAAATCAAGGAATATAAAACGGAAGCTGTAGAAAACTATTTTTAAGAGTCGAATACATGGTACACACTAAGGGAATGCCATAAATTTGAAAGTATCTGCTTCTTTGCTCTGTCTACAGTAAGATGTACTCTTAAGGTTATATGTCTTTTACATTTAGCTGTCAAATTTATAATCAAAACTGTAGTACAAATTTTAAAGATATAGTCTTAAGCCCAGGATCAATTAATGAAATGCTTATTCTCCGGCAATCTGTGAAAACATGCACTTAGAAAATTTTGTTTTCAGTTAGGTGAAAATATAGGTGAAATATTTGAAATTTAGTCTATCAAGGAATCTGTAACGTTTCTAAAAATGCCTGTTTCTTAACCAATACATGACAGCTGATTTATCACACTCTTTTATTTTTGAAAGAAATTGAAGACTGTCCAAAAGACCGTTGAGATTTTTCCATCCGAGGAAAAGGGAATATCAGTAGATTAAACATTTATTAGCAGAAAAATAGAATAATCTTCTTAAATATTTACAAAAGGAATAAATCAAAACTACCTGAAACTCAAAAATGTGTATATAGTATGAGAAGGTTTATTTTACAACAGGATAATATATGGACATCTTTAGCTATTTGTGTTTCTTTTATGAGGAATTAAAATTTTAATATTGGTAGAGAAACATTCATATCATTCTCACCATCAAGATCATCTAGGCGATAAGGAGTGTCCAAAGAAGCCTATTTACATTGACTGAAATTGTTACCTAACCTTTTTGAATTGTAAATGTATGAGGCCTGATTATTTCCCACTGTGCAGGGTGTTTCTCTTGGGCAAGATCTAACAACTAAAGAGCCATTTGCTTGTTGAGAAAGTGCTGAATCTGTAAATGCTGACTCAGCTGGGCAGGAGGTGGTAAGATTAATGGACACCAACCATAGGGAAAAGCAGTCTGTGAGTGTTAAAGGCCTTGGTGGGAGAAACATTCCCCTAGTGAAAGAGAGAACACACACTTCGCCCTTCCCTTCACCCCATGGCCAGACATCCTGTTCTATATGTTTCAGTCCCGTGTGGTGGTACTATTGGAAATTTATGTCTCTATTCAGTAATGATTCAATCACACCAACTCATCACACATCTTATCATAAACTTTAACTGCCGTGATACTTTTAAATGGGGCCAGTTTTATTTTCATCAATAACATATGAATTCTGCTTAAAATAATAAGCACAATTGTAACAGTCTACCAAACTACATATGAAAATAAGATATGCTCAAGGGCATTTCTTTAAGTACAGCTTAAAATACTACAAGGTATTGAGGAAAATACTGAATAGCCATGCAACGTAAAGGGATAACAATGGATTAAAGGAAAATAAATATCATACCACCTAGCTGCTTTTTGATCCTTTAAGATGTATTTAAAATGTGCATAGTGTGAGAGAATAGAAACGTGAGGGATTTTCTGTGTTAGACAAAATATGAATCATATTTAACAGAAGTGCTCAATTGCATTTGCAGTCAGAAAAATAATACACATCTTGCATTTCACATTTACTTTTCATCCAGGATGTTTGACATATTAACATATTTCATTAACATCCCAAAGAGTGACAGTAATAGAGCAGCACTGAAGGGATTAAACAATGTCTAGTTCACAATTTGTGAATATGAGCAGTTCAGTTTCAACACTTCACTTAATTCAGTTGACGTTTTAAAATATTAGAGGTTTACAGGTACAAAATGCAACTTGTTAATTGTGTGAATATTTACTGAGTATCTACTATGCGCCAGAGGCTGTTTCTAGCACCTGTGGATATAGTAATAAAGTGTAGAGTCATGCTATTGTCAAGAGAGGGAAAAAAGGAGAGTTATACTATTTCAAGTCAAGTTAGATATAATTAAGAATAAATGTCATCATTCTCTGGTTTTCCCGAAAATAAGTAAAGATTACATTTTTTTTGTTTCTTTTACCTGACTGCAATTTTTGCCTTTACTCTTTTCCTTTGTAAAGTCAGTGTTCCATGGATAATATCATGGGAAACAAAGTTAGGACCTTAAATAAATTAGTTAAATTTCTCTCAGCCTCAGTTTCCTGGGATAATTTATAGAGTTTTCCTGATGAGATAAACTGAAGTTTCATTTATGAAAAAACACATTGTAAACTGTATAAAGACAAAAGATTGTAGTCTATCAGGGTTTTGTGGGGTTCCAGGTGAACCTTATCAGTGTTAAATCCAAGAGAAAATGTTTCAGTGAAAACAATTTATAGACAGCAACCACAAATGTGTAGGAATGAGGACATTTTTGAATATTTCACTTCTAATTTCTTATTTTTTCAGGTCTACTTTTCTAAGTAGGAGGTAAATGTTAGTAATAAAGGGAAAAATCAAGTAAATATATTTCTTCAGCTGAAACAGTTAAACTCAAAATACATACATATGTATAGTAACTTATAATACCTATAAGACCTCATGTTTTACAAGCCCGTTGTAAAATCTCTCTTTTATATTGCCTCAAAGGAACAAGTCAAGAATGCGGGCACTGGAAACCCATAGTGAAATTTAGTTGAGTTATGACTAATGGTGCTATGAACAATTTGTCTTTAGAAGAACATTGAGTAGACTGAGATTTTCTGTTTTCATAAAATGTTTTTATTTGTAATCATCCTTTTAAACATAGGTACATGTATTGTCTTCTACATCTATCTGACTTAATTTGTAGAAAAAGTTGGATGGAATATCCTGATTGTATTTATCTTTTTAAATCACTTCTCGTGGGAGTGCTTTTCTTAGCAAAAAGCGTGAGGGAAGATAAATTCATTCCACTTGGGAAAAAGTTCAGATGTCCCTGTTGTTTAGTAAATAACTAAATGAAGCAATAAGTAATGCTATCGCTTTCTATAATACCGTCATGTTAATACAAACATTTTCTTCCTCCAAAAATATTAATCAGTGTTAACTGTTTTGAATATGTCTCCCACTTAACACTTTCAAATTTAATCTCTAAACCATTATCTTCTTTCTGGTTCAGCAGGAAATTCTGCCTGTCATTGAATCAGTAACCCCTTATGTTTATGAGTAGCAAGAACTATAAGAGCCAGACTTATGTGTAGAGTAAAACCTGTCTAATTAGTATCAGTCATCACATTACTGTATGTTGACAAGAGTCTTTCATACGTTATAGTATTTTGGCATGTGTAATGGATGATACAATGTAGAATAGTTCATCACTATTATTTTATCTTCCTGATATAACTTCTTCCGAAGCTTTTCTTTTTTCCTCTCTTTTTTCTTTTTAACATTTCCCAAATTACTTGCAGCATTCTGACCTGTAGCTGCCTCATTCTTCCTTCTTGAGGATAGATCACAGGCAGTACTAAGTTTGAATAAGTTAACATTTTTATATAGTCGAACTTCATACCTCCTCTTTTACAATTGTGTCTGTTGCTTTAGATCTGCTTCAGAGTCTGTAATTCACTGTCCAGGATAGGAGAAACGGACTGAAAAGTGTATAAAGTCCACCCACTGTAAGTACAAGAAAAAAAAAAAGGAAAAAATGGTGGAAGAAATAATCTATTTCTAATAATACAATCTAATAGTTATTTTAATGAAGTCACCACAACTTGAAATCCACAAGCACGTTTCCTGGACTCAAGTTTCTAAGATTCTACTCTGCTATTGAGAGAACAATAAATAATATAATTGGGCTGTTTATTATGACACTAAGGCAATATATGTGCGATCATCTTTTTGTGCAATTGAAAATAACTTCTATTTTTGTGTAATTGATAAGTAATTGTATTTCCTTTTCAAATACAAGGCGGTATAGAGTTATTTTTTAACAATTATCTTATATAATGTTAAGGTAAATGTACAATGCAGATGAGCTTATTTTTAATCCTTTGAATAAGAAAATAATTTTAAATAAATAAATAAAACATACGTACATAACTATTAATTGCAAGGTTAATTCTGAGTAATTGAAATCAATTAATTTAAATAAACTACAATAATTGGCATTTGAAATGTCAGGTCCAGAATTCTTTCTTATATTGTTTTTGATCATGTATTCTTTACTAAATTTCAGCAGAATTTAAATTAATATGTTTTAGATTTTAACTCATTTATCTTATTTGGTTACGTGTACCTTACTTACTTCTTTTTGTATTTGTAACTACTTTAGATTTTTATGACTTATTTTCTTTTACATATAGTTTGGAGTCTAGAATATAAAATGGAGTAACAAAAAAATAGGCTAGTCTGTCACTGATTTGCTTTGTGGAATTTGCTATCACTATTGTGCAATATATTGTAACACATTCATTCTGGGCATCTGTTTTCTTCTTTGCCATCACTTTAGTAAAACTTCTGGCTGGAGAAGACAAAATGTGAAAGTAGTTAATGAGACAAAAAAATATAAATATATACATTTTCCTGGATGATGATAGGTGAGAGTGTTTAAAATGCACAATACATCATTCGAAAGTTTATTTTTAAATAATCACCCTTAAGTGAATTTTGATTAAAACCATTGGTACGATTTGAGAACAAAACTAAGACTAGATTATATACTCATCACAGATCAGGAGAAAGAAAATGAAGGAAAACCTTTCATCTTACTATTTGCAACTCTCTCTATTGACAAAGGCTTTATTACAATCACATTTTATGCCTCATTTATTATAGTTTTAAGGACTTTTTCCTAGAGACTCCAACCCAAGGGAAAAAAAAAACATACATTTTCTGTAGGTGATTTCTCTTTTTTGGGTACATTTCTTGGCTCTTAAATGCAAATTACAACACACTTTTTAAGTCAACTGTTTTACTTGCCAACTCTCTAAGTCTTAGGAAGTTACAACCTGTAAATGGGTGAAAATTATAGTACAAAGAATACTTACAGAACTCAGATATGTCAGTAAGTTCAATTTAGGTAACAAGTTATGGCTTAGTCTGTTTTGTGATGCTATTACAGAATCCCCAAGATTGCATAAGCTGTAATAAATAGAAATGTATTTGGCTCACAGTTCTGGAGGCCAGGAAGTACAAGACTGAGGGGCCTCATCTGACAAGGACCTTCTTGCTGCATCATCCCATGGTGGAAGGACAAAACAGTACATGTGCAAGAGATAGGGAAGGGTGCCAAACTCTTCCTTACATCAGGAATCTGCTCCCACAATAACCCACTCCAGTGATAATGGCATTAATCCATTCATGGTGGAAGAGCCCTCATGACCTAATCACCTTTTAAAGGCTCTGCCTCTCAGCACTGTTGTATGTTTTTCCAACACATGAAGTTTGGCAGGCACACTCAAACCGTAACAAGTTACTTAGATAATGTCTGTTTCTGGATTTTTTGTTCATTGTTTATTGCTGTTTTATTTCTGAGTCACATGGTTTTTTTAAGATATAAATTTATTCTAAGTTTGTACTGTAAGAGAGTTAAAAAAAAATACTTTTTCTGTTCTAACTCTCAATACAGAATGCAATGTTTCACTTCTGGTAACCAAAATCTGTATAGATTTCTCCCCACCAACAACCAGTTCTCCAGCAGATACCAACTGGCTGTCATATAATTCAATTCAATTCTGACACTATATACAAGGAGTAAGCATCAGATCTCACAGATGAAATACTCAGTCCCACTGGACTGCTTCAGTTCACATGCCAATGGCAAACCTTAGGTTGCTTTGCCTGTGTGTCGCACCAAATAGCTATAAATATGGAATGACCTCCTCCTCAGGTTGAATGAATTTGCTAAAACACTTCACAGAACTCATGGCAACACTCTACTTACTATTATCAATATATTATATTATATTATATTATATTATATTATATTATATTATATTATCATTATTACTATTTGAGGCAAGGTTTTGCTCTGTTCTGTTGCCAGGCTGGGGTGCAGTGGCACAATCATGACTCACAGCAACCTCAACCTCCTGGCTCAAGCAATCCTCCCACTTCAGCCTCTTAAGTAGCTGGGGCTACAGGTTTGCATCACTACTCCTGGCTAATTTTTGTATTTTATTTTGATAAAGATGGGGTTTTGCCATGTTGCCCAGGCTGTTCTTGAACCCCTGGACTCAAGAGATCTTCCTGCCTTGGCTTCCCAAAACATTGCCAATTTATTACAAAGAATATTTTAAAGGATGTGAATAAATAACTAGATTATGAGGTACATAGGGTGAGATTCAGAGGGTCGGAAGGGTTCCAAGCTCAGGAACTTCTGTTCCCTCATATAGTTACGTCTCCCTCTCAAATGTGGGTATGTTCTTATTCACCAACTTGGAAGCTCTCCAAACCCAGTCCTATTGTATTTTTATGGAGGTTTCATTACCTAAGCATGATTGATTAAATCATTGGCCATGGATGTTCAACTCAACTTTCAGCTCCTTTGGTTCCCATCTTGAAGGTATCCAGAAGCTCTCAGCCATCAGTCCTCTAATTAGCATATAAAAAAGATACTTAACACTTTGGAGATTTCAAGACTTTTAAGAAGCTGGGTGCCAGAAAACAGTTTGAAGATCAAATACATATTTCTTATTATAAATCATACTATCACGACACTATTTCTACTCTAAAATCAAAATAGAGACCTATATAAATTTCACTTCCACCACAAAATTCTCAAAGGTCACTCCACTCTTGGAATGCCTCTATCTCCAAACTTCATGACTTAATTCCATTATGTGGTTTCTGACCCCTCCAATGTGTCCTAATTGAAGTCCCTAGTTATCTTTCTCATATAAATACAATTAAAGGAAAAAATAAAGAAATATAAAAGCCAATGGGAAACTTATCATCACACTGCAGATTAACAAATAGGGAAATAACATCCACATTGAAAATGAATTCCATTTTTGGTCAGTAAATCTTACATTTATATAGATATCCATCATAATTTTAAATAAAATATTCTTTCAGATTATAATCTTACTTCATCATAATTAAAGGAAATCACAAGTTTTAAATTTAGTCTTAAATCATTTAAGTGCTTAACAATGTAATAAATATTGAATAATACTTATTAAATATTATTCAGTATTTAAATTCAATAAATATTTAAAAATAAGGCTGAATGGAGTGGCTAGGCCAGGAGCAGCGACTCACACCCATAATCTCAGCAGTCTGGGAGTCTGAGGCAGAAGGATCCCTTAGCCTAGGAGTGTGAAACCAGCCTGGGCGAGATGGAGAGACCCTCCATGGTCTCTGGTAGAAACCCTCATCTCTACCAAAAAAAGAAAGAAAGAAAGAAAATAAGAGAAAAGAAAAATAAAAGAAAAAAAAAGAAAAAAGAAAAGAAGGGAGGAAGGAAGGGAAGGGAAGGAAGGAAGGAGAGAGAAGAGAGAAAAAAGAGAGAAGAGAGAGGGAAGAAAGGAAGGAAGGAAGGAAAGGGAAGGGAAGGGAGGGAAGGAAGGAAGGAAGGGAGGGAGGGAGGGAGGAAGGAAGGAAGAAAGAAAGGAAGGAAGGAAAGAGAGAAGAGAGAAAGAGAGAGAGAAGGAAGGAAACAAAGGAAGGAAGGAAAGAGAGGGAAGAGAGAAAGAGAGAGAAGAGAGATAGAAGGAAGGAAAGGAAGGAAGGAAGGAAAAAAGGAAGGGAAGGAGAGAGGGAGGGAGGGAGAAAATATGACAACATATGAATGGATAAAGAAAGTGTGGTACATATATACAGTGGAGTAAAAAAGAATGACATCTTGTCATTTGCAACCACATGGATAAAACTGGAGGTTGTTATGATATGTGAAACAAGCCAGGCACAGAAAGACAAACTGCATGTTCTCACTTATTTGTGGGAGTTAGAAATTAAAACAATTGAATTCATGGAGATAAGAGTAGAAGAATGGTTACTAGAGGCCAGGAAAGGTAGTGAGGGGGCAGTTGGGGGGGAAGTTGGAATGGTTAATGAGTACAAAATATAGGAAGAATAAATAAGACCTATTATTTGCTAGCCCAACAGGGTGACTATAGTCAATAATAATTTAATTGTACATTTAAAAATAACTAAAAGAGTATAATTGGATTGTTTGTAACACAAAGGATAAATGTTCAAGGGGATAGATACCCTGCTTATCCTTATGTGATTATTGTACATTGTGTACCTGTATCAAAACATATCATGTAACCCATAACTATATAAACCTACAGTGTACCCACAATATTTAAAAATTAACCATTCCAAAAATTTAAAAAAGTTTGCTGGACAGGGTGGTGTGCATCTGTATCCCAACTACTTGGGTGACTGAGGTGAGAGGATCACTTGAGCCTGGGAGACCAAGGCTGCAGGGAGTCGTGATAGCACCACTGAACTCCAGCTCGGGCAACAAAGTGAGACCCTGTCTCTAATACACACACACGCACACACACACACACACACACAAGCACAAACACAAAAGGTATATATTTGTGGTAAATCTTGAATTCTTAATTATACTTTATTACAACTATTAGTTGAAGCTCTGTATAAGACTCTTCTTAGAATAAAACAGACAAACTAGGGTCCACATTTTATAAGGACTCTGAGTTTCTGGTTAATAAAGGATGCAATTGCAATATACACTCCTTTTTAAAAATTGGACCTAACAGTAATTCTCCCTTCAGACTGTCATTTTATGTTTAAGTTATATTTAAAAGACATCATGCTGTTTTGAGTCTATGCACTAGATCAAAGCTAAGCTCTTTCAAATATATATCAGCTAATTTCAACATCAAATGTGTCTCTAAGATAAAGGTTAAACTTCCAGTTTTAAGCTATCAACTAACACTTACATATTATGGCTCTAATCAATACAATATCATAGGATTCTACATATGGAGCAGACCTTGGAGGTGTCTATTTCAAACCCCTCATTTTATATGGAAGGAGTATTTGGAGACATAAAAATGCCCCTTGCCCAATGTCTCACTACATTTAGTGATAAAGATAGAAGGTTAATTGGATGTCCTGGTTGCTAGGTTAATTCTCTTTCTATCATAATTTTTTGGGGGGTTGGTAGAAAGAATTACTTTCATATCCCACTGGAGTGAAGTAGAAACCACTTTGGGAGTTCCTTGCACTATATATGAACTGAGAGCAGAGATGATAGTTAAAGCTGGATACATAAGCCACTGTTTTCACACACATAATAAGAGTTCATGAACAAATGTTTTACTAAGTTTGTGAGTTTCTTATGGAGGTAAGTGTTAAGTGAAAGTTCTCGTGTTTCATTTTTCAGAAGAGAAGAAAGTGATTCTTGGATGAAGAGTTAGAATTTCCCTGCTATGAATCTCATTTCTGCTTATCTTCTCTTTTAAAGAATGTACTTTATATAAACCAGCTATCTAACTCACATATCTTAAGTATAAGTTAGTTTGTCACTGCTATGGACACTGAACACACAAAAGGATAAAATTTATCTCAGAATTTAAAAACAGAAGAGAAAGGGAAAGGTAGCGATCTCCTTTTTCATGTCCTGCATTGTATCATACAGGTAGAAATAAAAGTCTTGTTTACGACCCCAAAAAGAGATATCAATTAATGTCCCATGATCCATTTATGAAAATTGAGTATATTATAAAAATACAAGAGATGTAATGACTGACTATATATAAGAACATTAGAAATGGATCTCTACATTAAAGTAACTGATACTGAATATTAACTTAAGATAAATTTGTGAATGCAGAGAAATGAACTTTTAAAAGCACTGTTTAGATCTCTTCGTTTAATATTATGGTACCTACTGAGACCCATAATTTCTGAGCAATGAAAAATCTGGAGAGTTTATAATTCAAAGGTGAATAAAGGTGTGAGAAATTATGACTATGGTAAGATGCTAATCAATGCTAACACGAGAAAATACATCAAAACAAAATGACATTACAGATTAACCTCACTTTATGTATAAAAATGGAAAACAATTTAAAATATTGGCATATCATATCCAGCAGTGTATTTAAGGGAACAGAGAGTAAAAATTATTTTTTTTAGTTCAAAGTTTAGAAAATAATCAACCATTAGGAGGAAAAGGTATTAATAAAATTAAGTAGCAACCTGTTTAATAACCAGATTAAAAGAGAAGTATCTTTACAGATTCTGAAAAAAGATGAAGCTTAGCATTTATTCATTTAAAAAGTTATTTGTAATATAAAGACACTTCCTTAGCCTGATAAAAACTATATACAAAACGTAACATACCTTAACAACAAAACTTTTCAATAGAAAAACAGTTGAGGATGCCACCATCGCCACAATTTTTAACATTGTTTTAAATTCAAAAAGTAAATTGGAGTCACATAGATTTTAAAGTAAGAAGTAAAGCTGTCATTGATTTGTTAAATGTAATAATTTCATTAAGCCTTAGAAAAATTAGAAAAACAGTATTAGCACTTAAAAATGAAACTCAAAAGTAGACATCTAGTAAATCAGCATCTATTAGATCTATTAGATAATAGATCAGCAGCCCAAACCCAACACTAATAATAAAAAATATAGTTGATTTTTAAAATATTCACAACAGGTACAATAACTGTATGGACCTACAACTAAATCTAAAAAGAAATATGCAAAAAATTTATAAAGATAAGTATAAAACTTTACTAAGAGTCATTTAAAAACTGTACATATGCAAGATATAAAATGTCCATGGATGGAAAATCTTAATATTGTAAATAGATTAGTTCTCACCAAATTAATCTAGGAATTCAGTGCATCTCAATCAAAACCATTGTAGGAATTTTTATGGAACTTGACACGTAACTCTAAACTGCATATAGAAAAGTAAATGTAACAAATAGCCAATAAAGTTTTTAAAATAAACACCTAATCTTATCTTTTGCAATTTAAAGTTTCTTATCAAATTGAAGCTGTGCTCAGGGTAGAAAAGTAACTCCAGCATTGCAAAGAAGGGGGATTCTGGTTTCTTTTATGGCCCTGCCTTTCCGTTGTGATAGTGCCTATAGGCTGGGCAATCAGGAGATACCAATGGAAATTGTTGCTGCACGTGACTATCTGGAAAGTTTGATTTATCCTATTTGTTGATTATTACCACTGATTTTGATCATCGTTTAAAATGCATATGGAAGACATCAGTCAGAATGGAAGACCAAGAACCTCTGGAAGTCCTGTCCTTCATTAAACAAAGAAAATGATGGCAAAAATTGTCAATATCTACTTTTTCAGAACTATGGAATTTCGATGAAAGCTTCCATAATCCAGGGAGCATTTCCTTAAGAAGATGGCTGAATCACAGTAAGAATAGCAACTTTGTGACATTGTAGCTTGTCCTATTACCACCCCATCCCTAGTTCCATTGTGGCTTTGAAAACTAACAGTCTCACAATTACATTTACAACCAGCATCTTAGCAGCAAACAGAAAAACAAAACAAAACAAAACAAAAAAACCGGGTTGGAGCTCCTCCAATGCCTCATTCTCAATTAACTGTCATTATTTTTATTATGTGATCTGTTTTGCAGTAGCCTTGAAAATTCCACTCACAAGGATTGGTTTTATTTGATACGACTCAGTGCTGATCAGTGAGGTTAGCCTCTACCCTGGAGGTTTTCGTTAAAACAGCAAAAATATTAAGCAGCAACTTTTTTTTAATTCTCTTTTTTTTAAGACAGTCTCACTCTGTCACCCAGGCTGCAACCTCTGCCTCCCGATTCAAAACATTCTCCCACCTCAACCTCTGAGTAGCTTGAACTACAGGCATGTGCCACTGCACCAGGCTAATTTTTGTATTTTTGTAGAAGTGGAATTTCACCATGTTGGCCAGGCTGGTCTCAAACTCCTGACCTCAAGAGGTCCACCCACCGTGGCCTCCCAAAGTGCTGGGATTAAAGATGTGAGCCACCACGCCCGCCCTAAGCAGCAATTTTTCAAAACTGTTGCTGACTGAGGCAGCAATAACAGTTGGGGAAAACAAAACATTTAAAGGGATAATCTGAGCTATAAGCTCAGAAGAAAAGGTGACTAAAACACTTAAAAGAACAAGGGCTACATTATATTCCTGGAAATCTAGAAACTTGTACTCACGGGAAGGGATTTCCACATGCCCAGCACTCTGGACATGTCAAGTTAAGAACTGAGAAGGCCTCAGTCTTCCAGCACTTGCTAATCCTAAGGCTCTATGCAAACAGGAGATGAAACCTATGTCATAGTTTTGAACTGCTTTCTTAACCATTGAATGGATGTTCTCTAAAAACACAGAGCCTCTTAGCAAAGACTGGAAGCTTTTAGGTTCAAGTAGAATTTCTGTACAATCATTAGTCATCATAAGCTAGCCAATCAGAGACTTCGAACTCTGACTTCACAAAATTAGTCCTGGAAAGTCATGAATCAAACAGCAGCAAAAGTGAAGAGAAAAAAACAAAAGAACTGGGGGATAGCTGATTTCAGGTTGGCATATTATACTATTTAAAGTATCTAGAATTCAATTAAAAAGTATTATATGTTCAAAGAAATAAAAAGGTATAGCACATCCAAGGGAAATAAACAAACATTAAATAGGAGCTATCTCTGAGGAAGCCCAGAGTTAGATTGACTAATTATTTAAATTAGCTGCTTTAAGTTCATTCAAATAACTAAAGGAAATAATGTATAAAGAACTAGATAAAATTACAAGAATGATGTTTTACCAAACAGAGAATATCAATAAAGAGATAGAAATAATAAAAAATAGAAATTCTGTAGTTGAGAAGTAAAATAACTGGAATAAAATATTCTCAAGATTCAAGAGCAAATTTGAGTTGGCAGAAGACAGAATTAGTAAACATGCAAATGGGTCAATTGAAATTATCCAGTAGCAGAGACAGAAAGAAAAACAAATGAAGGAAAATGAATAGAGGCTCAGACACCTGTGGGACCCCATCATGTATACCAATACATGCACAGTGGGAATTTGGCTTTCAACAGTTTCATTATAATGTGTCTAAGTGCAGTTGTCATTGAGTTATTTTACTTGGAAATTATTGAGCTTGAATGTGGAGATTAGTATTTATCACTGATCATTATGTCTTCTAATATTCTTTTTGGCCCTTTTTTTCTCTATTCTTCTTTTGTTAAAAAAAAAAAAAAAGTCAACCAAGAATTGCATATCCAAGAAAACTATTCTACAGAAAAGGAGAAATTAAGACAGTCTTACGTAAACAGGAACTGGTGATATTTAATGCTAACAGATTTGTCCTACAAGAAATACTAAAGAGATCTCCAGAGTAAGAATTGAAAGAAAGCTTCACAAGAACTCGACTCTGCATAATGGGGCCTATCAGAGGGTAGAGGGTGAGAGGAGAAAGAAGATCAGGAAAAATAACTCATGGGTACTAGGCTTAATAACTGGGTGATGAAATAATCTGTACAAAAACCCCTATGATAGAAGTTTACCTATATAACAAACCTACACATATACGTACCCATGAACTTAAAATAGAAGTTAAATTAAAAAAAAAAAAAGAATACTGTTACAGGTAAACATGTATCTAAGTAGAAAGGACCTACAAATGTATTATTTTGCTTGCAACTACTTTTTTCTTTTATCTAATTTCAAAAACAACGGCATAAAGCAATACTTACACATCTCTGTTGATGGGAATAGGCTGTATATAGATAAAAAGTTGTATGAGATAATAGCAGAAAAGGGGGGAATAACTAGAACTACATGTAAACAACTATTTTGGAAACAAACTTAAGTAGCATTTTAATCTGAATTAGATTGTTAGAAACCGAAATCACTAAGACAACAATAAGAAAATAATTCAAAAAGACAGTAAAAAAATACAGTAAGGAAATTAACTATGTTACCCAGATATAAAAATAAAATATATCCTTTCTCTCTCTCTCTCTGTCTCTCTCTCTCTGTCTCTGTCTCTCTCTCTCACGCACGCACACACAAACACACACACACACACACACACACACTAATAGAAGAACAGAGAAAAAAGACACAGACAAATCAAAAAGAAACAAAATGATAGACATAAGATATAATTTATTAGTTTAGCATATAACTATACTTAATGTAAACAAATGAAACACTTCAAACACAAGAAAAGACAGAGATTGGCAGAATGGATTAAATACAAAACAAAAGAAACACAATTCAACTATATGCTGTCTATAAGAGATACCCTTTAAACTTAGAGACACAAATAGATTACAACTAAAATGATAGAAAAATATATAGCTTGACAACTGTAACATAAATAAATCTGAATTGGTTATACTAATATCAGATAAAATATTTTAATACAACAAAATGCAACAATAGTTACTAGAGACAAAAAAGAATATTTTATAGTGATAAGAGGCTTAACCCAGGGAAATATGACAATTATAAACATATTTGTTCTAAAAAATGCCACAAAATAATGTGAAACATATACTGAGAGAATTGAGAGAGAAATAAACAATTAAATATTTACAGCTATCAGCATCAATAACCCACTTCAATAAATCAAGGAATAACTAGACAGAAAATTAAGAAAATAAAAGGCTTGAATAATCCTATGAACTAAACCTATTAGGCACATATAGAACACTCTACACAACAGCACTAGAATATACATTACCCTCTAATGCACATGGAACATTCTTTAATACAGACCATAAATGAGGCCACACAGCAAGCCTCGGTAAATTTTAAAGGATTAAAATTAGATATAGTGTGTTTTCTTACCACAACTACATGAAATCAGAAATCAATAATTTAATAAAATTTGGGACGTTAACAAATATGTGGAAACTAAACAATATATTTAAATAATAAATAGATCAGAGAATAAATTACAAGGGAAAGTAAAAAGACACTTTCAGATAAATAAAAATGAAAACAAAATATATCAAATTTATAGGATGCAGCTACTTTAGTGTTGAAATGAAAATTCACAGTAGTAAATCCTTACATTAAAAATGAATAAAGATCTCAAATCAATAATTTATCATTTCACTTGAAGATACTGAAAAAGAAATGCAAACTAAATGCAATGTAAGCATAAGGACAATAAATTAGAATAGGAAAAAAGTGAATGAGGAGAAACAATATGAACTAGAATACAATAGAGAAAATCAATAAAACTAAAAATTGATTCTTTTAAAATATTAACAAAACTAACAAACATTTAGCATGACTGACCAAGAGGGAAAAAAAAGTAATAGAACAGTCAAATTACTAAAATCTGGAATGAAAAAGACACATTACTATCAACCTTACAGAAATAAAAATAATTGCTGGGGAGCCATTATTTATAATTTTATGCTAATACATTAGGTATTATCAATGAAATGAACACAATTCTAGGAAGACACAACTACTGAAAATAACCCAATGAGAAATAGAAAGTTTTTATAAATATATAATACAAAAAGAAATTGAATTATATCAAAATATCAATTACATTTTTCACAGAAATAGAAAAAAAATCCTAAAATTTATATAGAACCACAAAAATCTAGACTAGCCAAAGATATCCTGAGCAGAAAGAATAAAACCAGAGGAATCATATTATCTGACTACAAAATATACTATATTGCTATAGTAACCAAAACAGCATGATGTTTACATTAAAACAGATACATAGATTTGGCTGGGCACGGTTGCTCACTCCTGTAATCCCAGCACTTTGGGAGGCCGAGGCAGGAGGATCACAAGGTGAAGACATCGAGATCATCCTGGCCAACATGGTGAAACCCCGTCTCTACTAAAAATACAAAAATTAGCTGGGCATGGTGGAGCGCGCCTGTAGTCCCAGCTACTCGGGAAGCTGAGACAGGAGAATCACTTGAACCAGGGAGGCGGAGGTTGAAGTGAACCAAGATCGTGCCACTGCACTCCAGCCTGGTGACAGAGTGAGACTCTGTCTCCAAAACAAACAAACAAACAAACACACAAAAAACAGATACATAGATCAATGGAACATAATAGAGAACACAGAAATAAATTCATACATCTACAATGAACCGATTTTCAATAAAGGTGCCAAGAGCCTATATTGGGAAAAGGACAGTCTCTTCAATAAATAGTGCTGAGAAAACTGGATATTCATATGCAGAATGAAACTATACCCTTGTCTCTCACCATATACAAAAATCAAATCAAAATGGATTAAAGATTTAAATCTAAGATGAATTCTGAGACCTCAAACTATAAAACTACTAAAAGAAAGCATTGGGTGATCTTTCCAGGACATTATTCTTGGGCAGAGATCTTCTGAGTAATACCCCAAAAAACAGAGGCAACCAAAGCAAAAGTGGGCAAATGGGATCACATCAAGTTAAAAAGTTTCTGCACAGCAAAGGAAACAATCAACAAAGTGAAGATACAACCCACAGAATGGGAGGAAATATTTACAAACTATTTTCTGACAAGGAATGAATAGCTAGAATATATAAGGAGCTCAAACAACTCAATAGGAAAAAAAATCAAATTAAAAATGGGCAAAAGACTTGAATAGATATTTCTCAAAAGAATACCTACAAATGGCAACAGGTTTATGAAAAGGTGCTCATTATTGGTCATCAGAAAAATGCAAATCAGAACTACAATGAGATATCATCTCACCCCAGTTAAAAATGGCTTTTAGCCAAAAGACAGACAATAATAAACACTGACAAGAAAATGAAAAAATGGGAACCCTCCCTCCTACACTGTTGGTTGGAATATACATCATTACAGCCACTCTGGAGAACAGTTGAAGGTTCCTTAAAAAATTAAAAATAGAACTACCATATGATCCAGCAATCTCACTGCTGGTAAATACTCCCAATAAGAAAATCATTATATTTAAGAGATATCTGCATGCTTATGTTTATTGCAGCACTGTACACAATAGCCAAGATTTGGAACCAACCTAAGTGTACATCAACTGACAAATGGATAAAGAAAATGTGGCATATTTACCATATTTGATACTATATGCTTGAGGTGATGAATATTCCATTCACGTTGATGTTATTGTTATACATTGTATGCCTGTATTAAAATATCTCATGCATCTCATAAATATACAACTACTATTTACCCATAAATTAAATGTTAAATAAATAAAAATAAAATTCATATAGAAATGTAAGGGAATGAGAATAGTCATATCAGTCTTGAAAAAGAACAACAAAGTTGCAAGACTCACATTTTCTCTATTTCAAAACATAATAAATAGCCACAGTAATCAAAACTACAGGGAATTGTTATATGGATAGACATATAGATTAATGGAATGGAATTGAGAGGCCAAAAATAAACTCTTGTATTTATGGCCAATTGAGTATTGACAAGGATACAAAGAAAATTCATAAGGGGAATAAATAATCTTTTCAAAAAAAGATGCTTCAAAATTCAATTTGCATTTCCAAAATCTATGCATTTCCAACTCACACCATATAAAAAAATCAACTCAAAAGTTATCAAATTCTAAATATAAAAGTTAAAACTAGAAAACCCTTAGAAGAAAATATAGACATAAGCCTTCATGATATTGGATTACAGAGTCGTTTCTTATATGTGACACCAAAACACAAACTAAAAATGGAAAGCTTTGTGCTTCAAAGGATACTATCAAGTCAATGAAAAGACTATTCATAAAATTGAAGAATATGTTTGCAAATCAAATATCTGAAAAGAGACTATTATACAGGATATATGAAGAACTCTTACAATTCAGCAATTAAAAGACAAACTACCAAATTAGAAAATGAGCAAAGCAGTTTTCTTGAGTTCTCTTCCAAGGATGGAGGTGTGATTAAACAAATGTACAACTCCCTTTCCTCACAAACAGGAAGCCATGTGTCTGTGGTCTTAGAAGGACTAGCTCTTTTCATGAACGGAGATATCGCACTGCCGAGAATGCCACTCCTCTATGTTTCCCATTACCGTTTGTCTTTCCATGATGTCAATGGTAAGGAAATTTGCTTTTTCACAGCACTGTTGGTGATTAAATTTGGATGCAACATAGTGTGTGTGTTCTAACATAGGAAATCATACATATCCATATATATATATTTATTTTACAATTCAACCAACATGAAGTATATACTATCTGACGTATAATCTTTAATATGTGAATTAGTTCCATCTCTTTTGATAAAATCTGAGTGAAAATAAGAAATTTTCAAAAAGGATATATATATATACACATATATATATACACATATATATATATACACATACATATATATATATACACATATATATATATATATATATATACACACATATATATATCTCCTTGGTTCCAACATATGACTTCTTTGAATCTAACCAAGAGGAGGACACATGTTCAAGAGAGAGTGTGCACTAATTTGTTGCATTGCAAGAGCATTAGAAACTTGGAACAAATTAAAACATTTGTTCCTAGGTGAATGACTATTCAATACTGCACAACAGTTAATAAATTGAATAAATATATATTATTCTAAGGTAACTGGAAGGTTACTATAGTAAATAGCAGTGTACACTCAGAACCCCTTGAATGAAGGGGCCTGGATCCTGTTGAGGAAGAGCCTTGCTACACTGTCAAAAGTTTACTGTTAATTCTTCTTCCAACCTTGTTCAAATGGACCTGTCACCATTTACCAAGATGACTATGCATTGGAGAAAGGAAAAGAAACATTTAGAGCATTAGTGACACTAATACTTGGAGAGCCAAAGTGTCACTGTAGTCTACCAGTCACAGTAGGGGGTGATGGGGATCAAGTGATCAATGGTGTTTTGGCTCAAATTTATCTCACAGTTGGCCCAGTTGGTCCTCTAATTTCCCCAGTTCTGGAAGATGCAATTGAATAGGCATATTCAGCAACTGGCAAAATCCCCACCTGAAATATATATATAAAATAAACATACATATATACGTTCTGGCTGAAAGCTAAATGGAACCCTAAGAATGATTTTTAAATCTATCAATATTTATAAGATTATGAATAAGTAATTTCCTATTTTCACTCAGATTTTATCAAAAGGAGATGGAACTAATTTACATATTAAAGATTATATGTCAGATAGTATATACTTCATGTTAGTTGAATTGTAAAATAAATCGCTTATTAAAACTGTGGAATCTTCCTCCGTGGAGGTCCTTAAAAACATTCTCGTAAGTCTGTGATAAGACAAGTATGCAGATTAAGTAAACATTGTATACTTTGAATTTATGGACATTTCTACCATTTATTTACAATATTTCACATATAAAAACAAAATGAGTTGGCAAATTCATGCTGAACCAGCCTATGGGTGGTCTTAGGGAACCCTGGCACGCAGCTTCTTGAAGGAATTTTTGTGAGCCTCTTCCTTTACAAGGTTAGTAGAGGCTGAACCAGATGGACAACTTCCACCTTTCCCAAACAGGAAGGTGTATGCTTATGGTCTAAGGAGGACTGAACCTAAATGCATTGATCATCACCTATAATGCATTATTGGTATGGTTGTTTTGTGCTTTGACATGATAAAATTCTTCCATCATATTTTTAAACCCAACATAAATCCCTTAGTATGTTAAAATATAATAAAATGTGTGCTTATTTCCAAAGGATGCAAAGCTAAAGTTAAGTGCCAAATGGCAACACAATAATTAAACCAACTTTCCAATCAAGAAATAGAAAAAAATAAACTCTATATTAATACTATTTTTAAGTTGAAAACTAAATGTCCAGCCAAGTTAGTCATTCTTTCCCTAGTGGTATTTTGGAAGTGGCAAGCCCAGTGATATTTTCCTTTCTACTGAGTACAGCTGTAAACAGGTCTCCAAATCGAAGGAAAGGCCTTGATTCCATGAACCCACCCACAAAGTTTTATAAACATTTAGCATCCTACATGTGGTATTACTCAGCTTTTAAGTAGAAGCCTGCGCTTTCACTGTATTCTTGTTGCTATGTGGATTTCTCATTTTCAATGTAATGCATCATCTAGTATTAGACAAGCAACAAACTCTTCCGATTTGAACTGAAAAATACAACAGATGAAAGAATTTACTAAAATAAGACTAGTAGGGCTTGAGAACCCTCTTTCACATCCCCTGGGATACATCCATAAATGGCAGCATGTGGCACTATTTTTGGTAGGCATCCACATTTCCACATCAGAGGCAGCTTTATACTAGCAAGAGCTGCAGGGTAGAAGGAAGAAGCACACACATATAAACACACTCTGATATAATCTTAGTTTCTCATAAGAGAAAATGAATTTTGTTGATGTGTGACTACCAGCTCTAAAAAATATCAGTGCCCCTTGTAAGTGAAAAAAAAAAAAAAAAAAAAAAAAAAAAACCACCTTGTGAGGTTATGAAGGCTGATTTCTAAACTTGAAGCATTCCACTTCAATGTAATTACAACCTAGTACACACATGGCAATATTAGGTATTGCTGTTGGTATTCACTCTTATATTCTGGCAAAACAAAACTCTGCTACTATGAACTTGCTTCTCATGACTGATGTAATTCCCTAGATATTCCGGATGTGACTTGAGTTTCAGAGCTCAAGTCTGACACCTAAAGCTCCCCAAAGACAAAGTCTGAATAGTTTTGTCAAGTGCTTCTTGGACCTGAAGTTGTTGCAGACCTAAGAAATATTTATTTTTGATAAGAATGAGTGAGTTTTATCCTATATGATGTGTAAGGATGTGTAACTTGTATCATTGTTTCCCACTTTTATGCCTGGAAAATCCTCTTTCCCTTACTATGTGTGTTATGGAAAATTTATATTTGAAAGAGTTTAAAGATTTTTGAAAGGTTAATTTTGTTTTGAAACACAGTGATGAATATTTCATCCTGCAGTTTTATTCAAGGATGACTGGAATTACTTAACATCTCCTGATGTAAGATAAAAATGATAAGTGGAAGCATCCTATTATCCATGAACAGCTTCATGTCTGGGTAGCGGCAAGTTCTGATTTGATTGATTTGTGTCCGGCTTGATGCTACTTGAAAATAAAGGCTCAGCTCCTATCTGTGCCTACCTATTCCCTGCTAGAACCATCAATCAGGGCTTTGTTTCCAGGCTAGCAGAAGTCACTGAATTTATATTGTTGATTTCAACTACAAGATACCAAGGAGAGTGGATGCAGACAAAAGTGAGCCACTCTAAAGGGTAGAAAGTACTAAATATTTTTGAAAGTTTCTACATATGGTATCATTCAGTTATTAGATGATTTATCTTTTCCTGTCACAATGATAAATTTTCCTTAGTCCTATGTAATACACAATCTCTTATATTAGACAAATGAAGAACTGTGCTCACTATTTCTCCAAGAGGTCACTGGCCAGTTGTACCCCATTGGCTAAAGATATACATTAAAAATGAGATAGAATTAGCTTCATTGAAAAACAAACTCTGATCTTGACTTTATGCTATGTGTTATTCTCAATAAAACGCCTTGTTTGAAAACATTGACGTAAACAGCTCTGACGACGTAGATACAAATTAGCATCGCCCCATCTTACCTTCATTCAAACAGTTTTACTTCTATCACTATGTTTCCGATGAGAGACTGTATAATCACCAAAATCTCTCTGAAGATTTCAATAGTAATTTTGCCAAACATTGCCACACAGGTAGACATATTTCAGTTTGACTTTGTAAGTACGACATGTCACTTTTTTAGACATAATGAGTCTTAATATGGCATCTGTATTGCATACCTCAGGGTGACTGGCTGGTTTGGCTGAAACAACCTAGAGAAGCATGCAGAACTATTTAGGATTCTAAACTATTAGCAGGAAGCAGTCAAGGTAGAATTGAGGTGACCTCATTGCTCCAGTTTGCGGCAACAGGATTTTAAGAAGAGGTCAGGCTAAGGTCAGAATAAACAGGGTCTTTAGGGAAAAAGAAATGTACATATGGAGATGCTTTCTCCCTCAAATCTATTCTGCTGTATGGCATCACTTTCAATTTTATGTCTTATATTTTGGAGTTCCATTTTCTGTCAAAAATCATGATTCTAAACGTACTGGTATATGTTGCCAACCAATGACCCAGCACTGAGTGGCTCTGCTTAAGCAGTGGTCAGTAACTTTCTGACTCTGTTCCCTCTGTGTCTCACACACTGGGATGCAGCCAAGTCCCCCAAGGAGACCCAGGTGGCAGTGACAGCCGTGGGCCTAATTGATGAGCAGGAAAGCACTATTACCTGCTGATGGCTCCAGAAGGAACATTACTAATCCTCTCTCTCTGCCATTCTGGAAGTGAAATTGAGGTAAATTCTGGCCCAAACAGCAGGGGGCTGTTTGCTTCCTACTTCTTTTCCTTTCCCCGAGGCTTCCTCGGCTGTCAGAACATTTACTGTCCACGTGTTTAGTGATATCAGGCTAACTGACTTATCAAGGAGGCTTTGGGTCAATACTGGAGCAACGCTGAGAGAAAGGGAAGCAAAACAAAATTTCTTTGAACTACAAGGGGTATTACATTTCATACTTGATAAGAGTGAATGGGAAACTTTAAATGATGAAAGAAACTTTATCCCAGGCACAGTGCTAGGGCAGTACTGCCCAGTGATTTCCAAACCAATGTTTTTGCAAGCAGTCCTGCTTGGGGTCAGTCTGCTCCTAGCCTTTGGGCACTATTTCAGGATAAAATGACTCATTCCAAATAAAAGTGAGGACCCATTTATTGAAAGATAGTATTTTCAAGTTTACCTTTGGTAATTGCACATTTTCCTCGTATGAAAACCTAATATTTGTTTTAATGTGTTTGCAAAGTGTCCTCACATTGTGTTGGTATGAACCTATAAAGTTTCAAAATAGCAACCAAGTTTGCAATAATTCATATTCTTCTCAGTGAAGTTTACTTTGCATTATATAAGAAACATAAAAGGGACACATATAATACTAAATTGATTTAAGTATAATGAAATAAAAACTGAGTTCCATACCAGCTGAATCATTGGGAAAATGAACTTTTAATTCTATCCTCATTGATTAAGCTTCTTTTTTTAATTTTTAATTTTATTTTACTTTAAGTTCCAGGATACATGTGTTTGTTGTATAGGTATATGTGTGTCATGGTGGTTTGCTCCACTATTAACCCATCATCTAGGTTCCCTCCTCTCCCCTACCACCCTCCAAGAGGCCCCGGTGTCTGTTTTTTCTCTCCCCATGTCCATGTGTTCTCACTACTCAACTCCGAATTAGGAGTGAGAAGATATGGTGCTTGGTTTTCTGTCCCGTGTTAGTTTACTGAGGGTGGTGGCTTCCAGCTTCATCCATGTCCCTGCAAAGGACTTTATCTCATTCGTTTTCATGGCTGTACAGTACTTCGTGGTGTATATGTACTACATTTTCTTTATCTAGTTTATCATTAATTGCTATTTGGGTTGGTTTAATGTCTTTGCTATTGTAAATAGTGCTTCAATAAACGTACATGTGTCTTTATAGTAGAAAGATTTATAATCCTTTGGGTATATACCCAGTAATGGGCTTGCTGGGTCAAATGGTATTTCTGGTTCTAGATCCTTGAGGAATCACCACAGTGTCTTCAATGATGGTTGAACTAATTTACATTCCCACCAACAGTGTAAAAGCATTCCTATTTCTTCACAGCCTCTCCAGCTTCTATTACTTCTGGAAGTTTTTTTTTTTTTTTTTTTTTTTTTTTTTTTTGAGGAAGTCTCTCTCTGTTGCCCAGGCTGGAGTGCAGTGGCACGATCTTGGCTCACTGCACCCTCTGCCTCCCGGGTTCAAGCAATTCCCCTCCTGCCTCAGCCTCCTGAGTAGCTGGGATTACAAGTGCGCACCACCACACCCGGCTAAATTTTGTATTTTTAGTAGAGATGGGGTTTCACCACTTCACCATGTTGGTCAGGCTGGTCTCGAACCCCTGGTCTCGGACTCCTGTCTTCATGATCTGCCCACCTCAGCCTCCCAAAGTGCTGGGATTACAGGTGTGAGCCCCTGTGCCTGTCCGCTTTTTGACTTTTTAATAATCGCCATTCTGACTGGTGTGAGATGGTATCTCACTGTAGTTCTGATTTGCATTTATCTAATGATCAGTGATGTTGAGCTTTTTTTCATATGTTTGTTGGTGGCACAAATGTCTTCTTTTGAGAAGTGTCTGTTCATATCCTTTGCCCACTATTTGATGGGGTTGTTTGTTTTTTACTTGTATATTTGTTTAAGTTCCTTATAGATTCTGGATATTAGAACTTTGTCAGATGGGTAGATTGCAAAAATTTTCTCCCATTCTGTAGGTTGCCTGTTCACTCTGATGATAGTTTCTTTTGCTGTGCAGAAGCTCTTTAGTTTAATTAGATCCCATTTGTCAATTTTTGCTTTTGTTGCCATTGTTTTTGGTGTTTTAGTCATGAAGTCTTTGCCCATGCCTATGTCTTGAATGGTATTGCCTAGGTTTTCTTCTAGGGTTTTTATGGCTTTGGGTTTTACATTTAAGTCTTTAGTTCATCTTGAGTTAATTTTTGTAGAAGGTGTAAAGAAGGGGTCCAGTTTCTGTTTTCTGCATGTGGCTAGCCAGTTTTCCCAGCACTATTTATAAAATAGGGAATCCTTTCCCCATTGCTTGTTTTTGTCAGGTTTGTTAAAGATCAAATGGTTGCAGATGTGCAGTGTTATTTCTGAGGTCTCTGTTCTGTTACATTGGCCTGTATGTCTGTTTTGGTACCAGTATCATGCTGTTTTGGTTACTGTAGCCTTTTAATATAGTTTGAAGTCAGGTAACATGATACCTCCAGTTTTGTTCTTTTTGCTTAGGATTGTCTTGGCTCTACAGGCTCTTTTTGGTTCCACATGAAATTTAAAGTAGTTTTTTTCTAATTCTGTGAAGAATGTCAATGGTAGTTTGATGGGAATAGCATTGAATCTATGAACTACTTTGGGCAATATGGCCATTTTCACGATATTGATTCTTCCTATCCATAAGGATGGAATGTTTTTCCATTTGTTTGTGTCCTCTCTTATTTCCTTGAGCAGTGGTTTGTAGTTCTCCTTGAAGAGGTTCTTCACATCTCTTGTCAGCTGTATTCCTAGGTATTTTATTCTCTTTATAGCAATTGTGAATGGGAACTCATTTATGATTTGGCTCTCTGCTTGTCTATTGTTGATGTATAGGAATGCTTGTGATTCTTGCACATTGATTTTGTATCCTGAGACTTTGCTGAAGTTGCTTATCAGCTTAAGGAGTTTTGGGGCTGAGATGATAGGGTTTTTAAATATAGAATCACGTCATCTGCAAACAGAGACAATTTGATTTTCTTTCTTCCTATTTGAATACCCTTTGTTTCTTTATCTTGCCTGATGGCCCTGGCCAGAACTTCCAATACTATGTTGAATAGGAGTGGTGAGAGAGGGCATCCTAGTCTTGTGCCGGTTTTCAAAGGGAACGATTAAGCTTCTTTTAAGAAGCTTTTAAGAAGATGTCTTTAAGATTAAACTCCTTTGCATTTGGATATAAGGGAAAAATAATCATAAAATTTTCTACTGAATCAACAGAAGAGGGATATGCAG
Source organism: Homo sapiens (assembly GCF_000001405.40). Classification (NCBI taxonomy): domain Eukaryota; kingdom Metazoa; phylum Chordata; class Mammalia; order Primates; family Hominidae; genus Homo; species Homo sapiens. Next base: position 89,501,252 of record NC_000003.12, on the reverse strand, counting down.
CATCTTAGGAAAAGAGAGAGCAACACATACACGCTATGATAGATGACAAGTCTCTTGATGGACAAGGTACCTTATATATTTTGCATTAACTTTCTAAATGTATAAGAAAACAAATAAGAAAAACATTTCAACCTTTGACCATCATGTCAGTACAAAATGTTGTAGTGTGATTCAGTACAGTACCCGACAACATTTCCCAGTGTGTGTTCTGCAAAACAGATACCTAGTGAAAAGCATTCTCTGGTTAAATAAATTTGAATGATGTAGAATGAACACCATTAAACAGATGCTTTAGTACTGAACTTTCTGGAAAAGTTAAGAACAAACATAGAGATTCATCAACAGGTGATATAGAGCATATAACATCTCCCAAACTTAATGAAAGGAACCCTTTGTATTTTCATTTAAATATTCATAATTTGTAGAAATAATTTTTAAGAATATACATTTATTGTGATCTTAAAAATGAATCAACCATGGACCATAACTGAAATTTGTATGGTAACTATTATTGGTCAGCAATTAAAAAAGGAAAAGTCCAGGCTTGGGGGCTCATGCCTATAATTTTAGCACTTTGGAGGCCAACGCAGGAGGATTGCTTAAGGCCAAATGTCTGAGGTTATAGTGAGCTATGTTTGTGCCACTGCACTACAGCCTGAATGACAAAGAGACACTTTCTTAAGAAAAAAAAAAGAAAAAGCCACACAAATAAACAAACCAAAGAAACCAAACAAAAAAACCCTGAAAACACAAATTGGCATGTAAAACTATTTGCCACAGGTGGCACAAGTCATTGAGTATGATATTTAATTTCCTTTTATGCATAGAGATTCCTAATGAATTTGATTTTATTTCTAACACACTTAGATTGTAAAACTTAGTAGAAAGCACACAAAAAATAGATAAAACGTAAGCTGCCTCGCTCTTTTATAAGCAGTTGCTCAGGTAACAGTTCTGGCTTTTTTTTAACAGAACTATAAGTTGTGTCATATATTTGCTATGTGGTGAGTAGGGAAATTAATGCTAAATGAAATTCATTGGCCTTTTACAAGGCTTTCAGAGAGCTTTGCAAAAGTTTTTGTTCGGGAATAGAAAATGTGAGCACGTAGACTTTTGAAGAGTTATGTTTAGAAGTTTATTTTTCCAACAATTAGATTTCTAAACTTCCCTTAATTTATTTATGTTAAATAAAAAGTCAGTGATTTCTTTTGATGTTTCACAACAAAACGTTTAAGAATCTACACACATAATTCAATATGCTATCAATTTGGGTGAATGTTAATGCTAGACAATAATATTCATTTTTAAGGGAACAAAACCATCTAAAAACGTTTTGTTTCAAACTCAGTGAATATAATTTAAAATGGTCATTCCAGATTTCATGACTATTACACAACTGAAGAAGCAACGGAGAAAGAGGGTAAGTCTATGAGTGGCTTTCTAATTCTCTCTATATATTTTTTGAAAAATGTTTTAAGACGTTAAAAGACAGCAAGAGTTTTTTCTGAAGAATTCTGGAAATGAAAAAAAATGAATTCTGGATATGGACATAGGTCAGACAGGGATTCTGAGACTAAAAAGCCCTATAAAACTCCAAAATTATGAGCAGCTGGTTCTTTCAGACTCCTGTGAAGTGCAGTGCTCTGGTTCAAGAGTTTCCTTGTCATACAATCAAAGGACGGAAACATTAAGATTGCAGATGTAGAGTGGTGACACACTGTAATTTCATACAGATCCTAAGATGGTTTGGTGACATAAGAATTACTAGACCATGAGTCCTAGGGTCCATGAAATGGATTAAAGCTTTCTTGCTCTTTGGAGTTCTGACAATGACAAATGCTTTCTCTGATGTTGGGATTATCTTGTCTAAACTTTTGTTTCCTCAGTTTCAGGTTTCAGTTTTTCCTTAGCCATCTTCTAAGATCACAAATAACTTCCGTTTTTTTATTGTTATTGGAAGGTATTTAGAAACAGCCCCCACCCCCTTGTCTCTGCCTCTGGCATCATATCCATGCATAAGTCATTTTTAAATTTCCAATTTCCTGATACGTGTTTGAATGATGGACTTGATGTGGTCACATGACCTGACTACAAACTTCAATTTTAAAAAATAGGAGAAATAAAAAGAATAAAAACCAATGAGAAACAATTTTATAAGAAAAATTTAGGTACAAATATTATGAGTATTAGGTATTAATGCGAGCAATTGACAGCATCAATTAACTAAACAGATTTTTGACAGCAATCTTTTAATAACACATCAAATTAATAATGTATACTTTCTCAGACCCAACACCTATATGCACACAAGTAATGTGTTTTATAAATAACGTTTCTTGTTAAAAATGAAAAATTTAAGCAAATTTCAAGAAAATACTTTACAATAATTTTTTTGATTGAAATGGGAATTATAACTGATTACAAAAAGAGAACGAGTTTTATTTTCTGTTGACCCTGAACCTGATGGCACTTTCCCCTCTCCCTATCATTCTATCTTTGTCATAATCATGCACTGTGAAAACACTACTTCTGGTGAGGTTAAGTGGGTAAAATCTTTAATATGAAAGGAGTTATATAGTACACTAATTCAGCAAAATTCAATGGCATTAGCATTCAGTGTTTTTCTAGTACTTGATAAAAAGTGTGTGAAACCATGCATATGGAAACACATTAAGATTTTTACTTATTGCTAAAATTTTCCAGTAAACCAGATTGAAATTTTGTCCTAAGCATTACTTCCCAACAGTTTCAGGTTGTATTTGGATGTATTATGATTGCATTCACTTTTGAAAAAATTAAATAATTGAATATTGGTAGATGTAATACAGTTAAACTAGCTTGACAGGGAGTTCTTCTGTCCTACAAAAAAAAAAATGCAATCTGTGTACCAAATATAAGTCAAATCAACTGACATAGCAAAGTGGCATATACTTGGCTTTAAGGAGGGTAGAGAGAGTTCAGAAGAATAACTCCTTTTTCAGATGTAATATGGATTTTTATACTTGAGTTACACAATGAGAGGAGATTTTTAGAACAAGTGAAAACTACATGGTACCTTTTGTTCTGAGACAGAGTCTTGCTCTTTCTCCCAGGCTGGAGTGCAATGGCACAATCTCGGCTCACTGTAACCTCCGCCTCCAGGGTTCGAGCAATTCTCCTGCTTCAGCCTCCCAAGTAGCTGGAATTATAGGTGTCTGCCACCACACCCAGCTAAGTGCATTTTTAGTAGAGACAAGGTTTCGCCATGTTAGCCAGGCAGGTCTCGAACTCCTGACCTCAGGTGGTCCACACACCTCGGCCTCCCAAAGTGTTGGTGTTACACATGTGAGCCACTGCGCCTGGCCTATGTGGTACTTTATATCAAACCTTATTCCTTTTGTAATTTCAGGCAGCTAGCATTGTATTTGGTACATGAGTGTTTAATAATTATTAAAATATGAAACAGCTGATTACAACTAAAACTCCCATTGTATTGCTGATCATTGTTGTAGATCTTGAGGTAATCACTAAACAACAAAAGAACAAATATCCATCACTATCAATGAGTTTATAATGTTAAAAGTTTTTCAACTTTCTGAGAAACTGTATCAGTGGATTTAGAATTAGACAGAACTAGTTTTAAATCTCTGTTGTCACTTAGTAGCAGTGTCATTAGCCAAATGTCTGATCTTTTATAAAGCACAGTCTTCATATCTGTAAAATGAAGATAATGAGAGTTAGGGGTGTTACTCCTAAAGTTCTTAGTCAAAGGCCTCTCCCACATTTCAAAATACCAACTGAAATAATTTTCCTTGTACAAACAATTTGAGAAACATGAAAAAAGGGTAACAAAACTACATTTGCTATAAATCTTTAATGATTTATACATTATTTATTATTGCATTTTCATGAAATATCTAGAAAAGGAAAATCTACAGAGATAAAAAGCAGATCAGTGATTGTTTGGGGCTGGAATGTGGAGTGAGGGACTGCAAAAGGGCACAAGGGAACATTCTGGAGTGAGGAACGGGTTTTAAAACTAGACTGTGTTGATGCTAGCAAGATTTTAAAATTTGTCAAAAATCAACATATTATACACTTAAAATGGGTGAATTTCATGGTATGCAAATTCCACTTCAATGCTTTTTAAAAAAGCAAGTCACTGTACAGACTTATATTTGTATTTGGGAATATTAACATGTTTACATCATTAATTTAAACGTGTTCATTTTTCTATGTATCCATTTATGAAACTTACACCTTTAAATACAAAGTCTGTCAATCTTGTTTCTACATCTGCCTCTCACACTGTCAATACCAACAACAAATAGACTCCTTCACCAGAGTGGGGACATCTTGTTCGTTTCTGTATCTTCGGTGCATCATGGTAACTGGCACATCAATAGTTTTTTGATGATATTTCTGCTGAACAAACATTATGCACTATGAAGAGTAAATATAAATGTTAGGAAGAGTAAATAAATATCAATAAATAGAATTCTTGAATCAATATGCTTTCATGGAGACTGTCTGTATTTATTTCTACAATTTGAAATTATTTGGAAACACATGACCACTGCATTTTGCAATTAATGGGACTAGTAACAATTTACCTATGAGTAAAACATACTAGAAAAAGTCTATAATGTAGATTACAATAACTTAGACTTTTTCATAATTTAGAGATTTTTAAAGAAAGTCAATATTGACATCAACAAAGGAAGTCATAGATTATAAAGTAAAAATCAACAACATATAATTGATTAAATGCACATATTTTATATCTATTCCCTAGTGTTTGAGAGTTTCAATGACTGCATTTCCTATTTAGAGTGCTACTATATCCATTTAAAGTTATTAAAATAGATTTTAATTAAATACTTGCTAATATATACTGACGAATCAATCTGTACAGTCAGAAGAATTAGTAGAATTTCAGTATAGAGTTAGCAACATTTTGGTTTGATAACTTATGAGGAATGTGGATATTTTGTATCAATTCACTTAAGAATATTTTCAGTAATATCTAAAGGAGTTGAATCTGAATCATATTACTCAAAATAAATAGAAAAGTAACACATGAACTTTAGGGTATCCAAATTACACTCAAAACAAGCAATTGAAAGGAAAAGTGAATTACATTTAGAAATTGTGGTCAATCTTTACAGTTTTGAAAATGTGCAATTTTGGAATATTATAAGACCTGCTAAACACAAGGTGATGGCCAGTAAATATTAATAGAAAAAAAAAAGAAAGAGAATGAGGGAGGAAGAAAAGCAAGAAAGTTAGAATGGGAGACAGAAAGACAAAATATAGACTCGTCCATGTGTTTTTTTAAGGAATGAAAACAGTAGAATCCGCAGAAAAACTGTACGGCCAACTTCATGATGCAAAACATGCTGTTAACTGTACCATTAAATGATGCAAAGATCCCCTGAAGGCAAACGTAGAGGCTGAGACAGATGTCCTTAATCATGAGAGTTCATACAAAAACATGCTCCATATGGTTTTAGGACACAAGATGTATGGTTCAACTGGCCCGAAGAACAAGAGGAACACACAGTTAGCAGTGGAGACGGGAAAACAATTCAAGATCCACATCATGTTGACAATAGTGTTGATACTATAACAGCTAATGAGAGCCTAACAACGAACAATGGCTCATTTCTGTACAGAATTGAGCTTTTTATTTTTAAGTAGTATTTTGTAACAACATAAAGGTCAGTTGCCCACACATGCAAAACTAAAGTGAAGAAGAGTCTTTACCAAACCTCACTATTAGATGCATATGCCCATATATTTATTAAAAATAGAAAAAAATTATTAAATTTTGACTTAGAACTGAAAGAAGAAATTATATCCAGCCCTTTATGAAATGGTTTGCCTTCTGCACATGTCTAAATATCAAGTCAATGTGTTCTAGTTCTGTTACAAGATCAACTCTAGAGATCTACATTTAGTATTTTAACCTAATCCTTCCTGAAGTAAGTAGTTACTGTTAGAAAAACCAATAGAAGTGCCTCTTGCCCACAATTTAATACGGAGATTTCCACCATGGGTTGCCTCTTGCCCACAATTTAATAAGGAGATTTCCACCGTGAGTAAACAAATACAATCACAAAGCTACATGAAGCTCAAACCCCACATAAGAGACATATTTTCTTCTCTAACAACCACATTGAATTGAGTAACTAGACAACATTTTTCCATGCACTGAACTGTATAGGATCAAATAATTATTTTAATCAGAATACAAATTTGCCGAGATTGTCTCGGAGCCTCACATTTCTTCTTTTAATTGTTAGAAGTCGGGAACATTTTGTGTCATTTCAAACTAAACCTAATAACTTATGTCTTACACAACAGGAAACCATACTTACAGCCTGGACATTTATGACACTTAATATCTACCACTTTGAAGCAACGTTTCTAACTCTCTAAAAATATGTGGTTTACTGTAAACTAGGAATATACAGCTTATCATTTAAAACCAGGAAATGAAAACTAAGTTTTGTGTTACTTAAATTGAGACCAAAATATCACTTTCATAGGAAGTAAAAATATTCCATTTCCCTGAAGGAAGCTTTCTAACTTCTATAACTTTTATTATTATATACTTCAAATGTCAAAAACTAAAGTCATTTTATTCACCATGGTAAATAAGAGAAGTCCTGCTGTGCATTTTGAAAACAATTATTGAGCAGTTTCAATGTAAAAATTTTCTATGATTTTGACTTTTCAAAGTTGAACTTTTGAGCTCATTTGGTTCAGAGTACAATTTTGGTAAAAGTAAATCCTAAAACTAGGCTTTCACTTGGATCAAGGTAAGTAAATAAAGAAAGGAAATAGCACTACTTAAGTAGATAAACTAAGGAAAGCAGTTTACCCATAATACTTTATCTTTCCAGCTCTATTAGCTTTATATAATGATTATTGTTTACATGGTGAAAAAACTGAGTCTTTAGAGTTCAGCCAGCATTGAATTCAACTAACAAAAACAGCTAAGGGTCTTGAACACAGATTTGTTTGATTCTAAATCCTGATTTCTTTCCATCATGATACTTTTTAACAAGCATAACAGCAAGAACTCACAGTAATATCTAATATTTGCTGATACCAATGTTTATTTTCTTATCTATTCAAAATGTCACTTTTTAAAAGCCCTGTAGTGTTTAAAACATCCAGAGGTATACAAATAGAAATGATTTTAGCCAAATTTTCAAGACCATACAGTATCATGGCTAAGGGTGTCCCTTAGAAGCTTTCAGAATGTAAAGAACAGAAAATATATAGTTTACTTAGTGATTATGGGTTTATTTAATGATGCATGGATTGTGGGAACAACAAATCATCTTAGCATCTGAGCTCTTGGAAGGATCAAAAAGAACTAGAATTTTTTCGGGCTTCAACAGTAACTTTAATTCCATCTTCCCTACAGTCTTTACCTGCCTATTTCACCAACATAGCTGAGGCCTCAAATCATGCCTGGCACAGAGTAGATATCTCAGAAAAAGCAAACAAACAACAAAAAACCTACATTACTTGTTGCCACTGAATAAATGCGTGGAATTTTTGGCCTATATTGGTGATAATAGAAACTTTGCTAACTCTGTGCTTTTGTTTTTCTTTTCTCAGTTGTTCAGTGATCTACAACCAAATAAACCAATCACAGGTGTCAGCTTATATTACAATAGTGACTTTTACAAATCTTAAAACTATTGAAGTCTTTATTACTATGTAAAATTATAAAAAATACAAGAAGCAAATTAGGGTGCATTTATTTTTAAGAGCACGAAGAACACAAGTGCTTAAAACTCCTCTTATGTACTGAATAATTCTGAATTACCACAAGCAAGCAAGAGGGTCCTGAATAGTTTCGAAATAACTCTTTAAACTCTGGACAAACCAGTTCAAAAAGCCCTGCTAAGTAGCATGGATAGAGTCATAGGCTTTTATTTTGTTATATACAGCACTGTCATTTTCAAATTTTAATAGATTTATAACAGTAAATATCACATAATACAGATTGTTAGAACTGGAAGAACTTATAAAAATCTCTAGCCCAGTTATCATTTGCCACAGGTAAAGAAGATAATATTTGTTCACATAAACATTTTAAGAGTTTGCATGTCTTTTTGAAGTTGCAAGTGTTTATTGTCATACCTTGAGCACATATTAAGAAAATTATACAAAATTATTCAAAAATTTTATAAACAAAAATGTAATTCTAAAATAAAACTAGGTCAAGGAACCCACAGAAAAGCAAGAAAAGAGAAAGGGCATAATTTGAAACAGAAAACAAACAGTAAATTAGCAGACTTAAGCCATAATATAATTACTTGACAAATAAATGGAATAAATACATCAATTAAAAGACAGAGGTTGACAGAATGGATAAAAACGATGACCCCACTACATTGAATCTACAAAAGCTCACTTCAAAAATAATGACACAGATGTGTTAAGAATAAAATGATGGATGAAAATATGTTATGCAAACATTAATTTTTAAAAGTAAGGTATTTGGCCAATATTTGTTTGCATACTCTATTTTACCTTAGGAGGTAAAATTGCTTTAGCTCTGAGGCAATACAATATATAATGATATATATTACATATAAATATATGTAATATATATATAATTGCATAACACATAAAGTGGACTTAAGAGCAAAGAAAATTAGTAGGGACAAAGAAAGGTATTACATAGTAATGACAGGATTAATCTAACAAGAGACATCGTGTCCTAAATGTGTATGTGCAAAAAAAAAAAAAAAAAAAAAAAAAAACAGAGCTTTTCAATACACAAAGCAAAATTGGATGGAGCTGAAAGAAGAAATGGGCCAATCTATACCTGTAGTTGAGAACTTCAAATTCCCACTGTTAGCAGGAAATAGAAGCATTAGATAAAAAGAGAGCAAAGATAGAGGAGAATGGAAAAACACTGTCAACCAATAAGATTCAACTTACATTGATAAAACATTCCACTCAATAACAGCACAATATGCAGTCTATTTAATTGTCCACCAAACATTCACCAGGATAGACCATATGCTGGCTCACTAAACTAACCTCAGTAGATTTAAAATAATCGAAATCATGCAGAATATACTATTTAATTTTAATAGAATCAAATTTGAAATCAATGATAGACAAGAGGAAAATCTCTAAACATTTGAAAATTAAAAAACACACTTTTAAATAATCCATGGATAAAAAAGGAAGTCAAATAAAATATACAGAGAATTGAAAGAAAATTAAAACAAACATCAATATTAATGAGATGCAGCTAAAATAGCAATAAAAGAAAAATTATAATACTATATGATTATTTTTGAAAAGAGAAAATGCTTCAAATAAACAATCTAAGCTCCTTAAGAGACTAGAAAAAAAGAGAAAATAATAACCCAAAGCAAGCAAATGAAAGAAATTATAAACAGCACACACAAACAAGAATCAAACAGAAAAACAATAGAGAAAACCAACAAAACAAAAATTTTATCCCAAAAAGTTAATAAAAGTGTTAAAAATCCAAAAAATAGTCATGACAATTATCATAAACATTGGTAATGAAACAAGTGGTATTATTTCATAATGATTAGAACAACAAGGGAATAATACAAACTATTTTTATACTCACACATTTGACAATTCTTTTAAAATTGAGAAATTCCTCAAAAGCTACAAATTACCAAAATGAACCAACTTGAAATAAACTAAATAGTTGTGTAGTTATTAAATAGAGTTTATAATTTAAAATAGCTTGAGAGAGAAATCTCCAGGCCTAGGTAATTTCACTAGAGAATTCTCTAACACTTACAAAAGAATTAGCACAATTTTATACAATCTCTTTCAGAAAATAAAAAAAGAATGTTCTCCAACTTATTTTATGAGGCCAGTATTATCCTGATACGAAAGCCCAACAAAGAAAATAAAGAAAAATTAAAGAAGTAAAAGATGGGCAAAAACTACACCTATCTATGTGTCAGAAAGTTCAACACAAATTGCTCTACAAAATCATAGGAAATTGAATTCAGTAATGTATTAAATGATTACACACCATGAACAATGCATATTTTGCCCCAGGTATGCAAGACAAATTCCATATTCAAAAATCAATCAGTATGATCACCAAATCAAAAAGAAAAAAAAAATCATCATTCTAATTGAGGCAGAAAAAAAATCTGAAAAATTTCAACACTTTTTCATGAAAAAAAACTCTCAGAAAAATTGAAATAGAGGGGAATATCTTCAACTTGATAAGGAATATCTACAAAAAATTTCAGGTAACATCAAACTTAGTAGTGAAAGACTGATAGCTTTCTTCCTAAGACTGGGAACAATGGAAAGATGTCTGCTCACAACTTTATTTAGCATAGTAGGAGAAATTCTAGCCAGAGTAATAAAGAAAGAAAAAGAAATAAAAATGCATACAAGTGGAAGGGAAAAAAGTAAAAATTTCACAGTTTGGGGATGGCATGGTTGTCTACATAGAAAAATCCCAAAGCATCTACAAAATAAAAACTTAGAACTAATGTATGAATGCAACTAGATAGTAGAATATATAACCAAACCCAAGAGAATTAATCACATTTCCATGTTTCAATAATTAACAGGTAGAAACCGAAATTAAAAATATAATATTAGGGCCAGGAGAAGTGGCTCACTCCTGTAATCCCAGCACTTTGTCAGGCTGAGGCTGGTAGATTATTTAAGGCCAGGAGTTCCAGACCAGCCTGGCCAACATGGTGAAACTCTGTCTCTACTAAAAATCCAAAAATTAGCTGGACAGAAGTGGTGCACTCCTGTAGTCCCAGCTACTCAGGAGACCGAGGCAGCAGAATAGCTTGAGCCTGGTAGGCAGAGGTAGCGGTGAGCCGAGATTGTGTCACTGCACTCCAGTCTGGGTGACAGAGTTCTCAAAAATAAATAAATAAATAAATAAATAAATAAATAAATAAATAATATATATGTATATCTATATACACATATATATATATCAGTTATAATTATGCCAAGGGAATTGAAGTACTTAAGTACAAATTAAAAAAATACTTGTATAAGATCTTTATGCTAAAAATTACAAAATGCTAATGAAAGACATCAGAGAAGATGTAGATAAACAAAGAGGCATACCGTATGTGTGGATTGAAAAACTCAACATTGTAAAGGTGTGAATTCTACCCAAATTATATATAGGTTTAATGAAAAGCCTATCAAATGTGGCTATTTTTCATAAAATATTCATGTAAGCTATTATCTTAATTTGAGAAGAATCTTTTGATTGTTTAATGCCTAACAGTCCCAAGTTTTCTATGCTGTGTAGTCATTCCTAACCAAAGGAGGATGAGGGTAAGGGAGTTGATTTCTTCTCTCCTAAAGAAATCTTAAATGTGGATATTAAAATTTTTTGAGGTTAAATCTTTTAATGAGTTTACATTAAATTTATTCATTGTTCTTAACCACAAAGATTGAAAGGAGTCTTTCGGAGGAAAAGATTCTCTATGGGTCTTTCATGTTTCTGCATATCTTTCAAGCAGAGGCACTAACTGCCCTCTTTTCCGCATTATCTTTTCAAAGATATTTGTATGGTAAATAACCTTGGAATAAAGACATAGTACTCCCCTTTGCAGCAAATGGTAGATTTGTTAACTCTCCGATATGATAAAGACATTTCTCTCTGAAGAAATTGTTAGGCAGTTTTGCTTGCAGCCAATTATAAAAGATTGTAGTTCCTTAAACATGAGTTTCCTTTTCTTCAACAAAACTCATTGCATATGCAGGCAAGACTTGGCTCTCTTTGCAGAACTTTGTAGAAATTAGGCCTTGGGGAATTCGTGTATGAAAATGGTGACACTGGATACTGCCACTGCTGTGAGTACCAAACTATTCTTTGTCTCTGACCCAGAAACCTCATGACAACTGCCAATATCCATGAAAATGTGGCAGGCCAAATTGTTGGCTTGTAAGTAGGGTAAAATCTCACATCCTTCCTCTTTCTCCTCCCCTCCCTTCAGATGTCTGTACTTGGAACCAACCGCCACATTGTGAAGGCACGTGTGAGCTTAGCTGAATCCCCGATAATAGCCAACACCAATAACCAGATAGAGGAACAAATAAATATTCAGAAGAATCCAATGCCAGAGTTTGAGTCTTCCATCTGAAGTTTAGGCAACATGGAGCAGAGACAAGCTTTCCCATGTATAAATTCCTGACCTGCAAAAAACATGAAATAAGTGACTTTTGTTGTTTTAAGTCACTGAATGATATTATGCAACCACAGTGTCTCATGTTATGCAATCATAGCTATCTTAAAAGGAAAGATATCTTAGTTTTTTAGTCATATCCCTGGCTTTGGCATTTATTAATTCTTTAAGTATTAGTAAGCCAGATAATAAATAAATATATGTGTATATATATAAATAAATTTGTTTATATACATATATAAATATATGTATATATGTATTTATAAGTATATATAAACATGTATATATGTATTCATAAGTATATATAAATATATGTATATATGTATTCATATTTGTATTTATATATTGTGTTCATATTTATATATATTATATTCATATTTATATATGTATATAATTAATCCATTTAATAATTAAGTATGTGTATATATGTATGTAAATATATATATTTCTCTTTATCCAGAGTAGGAAAGTGTATAATAGGATTCCTTTGTTACCCATAGTGATTTTACATTATAAATGTGTATTATTCAACAATTATGGGTTTATTCTATGTGCTGGGCCCTGAATCTGTCTATGTGTTAGATAAGACTTTCCTCTACAAAACTTTCTGTTTCAGAGAAACATTAATCTAAATGGAAAGCAACTGCATGTTGCACAGAATCTCTGCTACAATTGTTGAAATAGATAATATTGTTCATTTGTCCTCCAACAATACATTTAATATTCATTTGGCAAAGACTAATTGTATGCCTACTAGCCTATTGTATACTAGATACTCTGTTAAGCACTTGATAAATGAACCATCACACTAGGCTAAAAATTAATGTCATGCCACAGCCTTTAATGCTCAAATGATGCCTCAAACTGAACCCATTAAACCAAGAAAAAATTCTGTTGCAAAAATGTCTTTAAAAATTTGAAAATATCAACAAATTAATCTATTTGATTCTGCAGGCAGGTACTAAACTTTCATGTATTCAAACTTAATTTTATTACCCTAAGATATTGTTATGATTTCAATGTTCTAACTTCCATAGAGTATTTTATGTGTATATATGTATGTGTATATATATGTGTGTGTGTATAAAATCTCTAGAGTCAGAAACATAAAATTGAGTATTAAGGGCTCTCCAGACCAAGATAAATAATTATATTGGCAAATTGAGTCTTCTCTGAAGGATTGTGTCCAAATGAATTTTGACTAGAGTCTGTTTCAATTTTTGCCTTGCTGAGTTGCTGATATGAAATATATATTTATTATATGAAGCATACCTATGGCAGTTAAATTTAGATAGTGTTATCTGTAACAATTTGTATTGGCTTCCTCCCAAGGCTTTCAATTTGCCATGTATGAGAATAAATGAGAACCATATGAAAGTCAATAAGTTCTTGATAGTACATGACATTCTGTATTCTCTCATCCTTGATTTTAGCAACATTCCAAGGGTTTGGCTTCCATCATTGAGGATGATAGGCTTCAAAAATATAAAGGTTTTTTTCTTGGCTTCAGATAAGAATCCTAAACTTAACATACGTCCATAAATCACTGGTGTGGAAATCTGTCAGAAAATAGAACAAAAGTACTACTTTTTCCTTGTGGTATTTGGTGTTTCCAAATTAGATTATTTGTTGAATGTTCAAGGGAACATGTTTGCTTGAAGGGTTCACTGTATGTCAAGCAAATCTCATGCTGTTGAAATGGAGTTCTCAGAAATGAAATCAAGGATAACTGCCTGTTCCTTCCTCTACCATGGTAGTAACAATCAAAGGATTCTGCAGAACTATGTTTCTACTAGCAGAATTACTGAATTACAATTGCACATTGAAAAGTGGAAAATAGAGACTACCCAAGATCTTAATTCTGGAATAGTTTTTATTATTGTCCTTCAGATTTTATCCTCAAGTTGTAATATTATACTGACAGCTAATACAACATAATAGTTCAGAACAAGAGATCTGGAGCGATTTTGACTTCAGTTCTTCTGCTTGCTAGCTGTATGACCTTGTGTGATTATTAGCTATTCTAAGTTGCAACCTATAAAGTGGATAACAACATACTTATTTCATTAAGTTCTTGGAAAAATTAGATCAAATAATATATGTTAAGGGCTTTGTACAGAGTAAAAGTTCAATGTACATCAATTATAATTATTCAGAAAAGTTAGTTTATATGTGTGTGTACATATATGTAACATGCACATAATAGAAGAAAAGCAACTTCTTTTCTTCTATTATTACTATTGCTAGCACCACTTTATTTCTAAGTTAAGTGGAAAATTACCTTTCTTCAAAGAGGAAAGCTGATAGCCCACTTTGTTGGAAAATGCGATTCAATTATTACTATTCTTCATCAACATGTAACTGAGTTTTCCCAGAGAATTTCAGGGTGAGGACTTCTGCAAACCTCCAAACTCTTCATTTTATGGCATATCTAACTCCACCACTTATTTTCCCAAATGGCATCTAGAGCCTGTGTGTCAACAGAATGTGCATCCCAGAAGCCTCATAAGAAGGGTAGCTTTTAGTAGGCATGTTGACATTATTTGTACATAGTGAGAAAGTAGAAAGGATCAGAAAAGCTTTGGCATTTACCTTGTTAAATTTTTATAGCTAAGCTCTGGTTCAAGGGTCTACTTAAACAACTTAACTGCACTAAGAAAAGTGGGAGCATTGAGACCAATGAAACAAGTCCACAAAATTCTATGAAAATGAACCAGTTCTAGCAGAGATCAGTATATTCAATGATCCAAGATATATAACTAGAACATTAACTAGCTTTATTGAGCTGAAGGAAATTTACACTTTTTCCTACGGGGAAAAAATAATCAGATACATTGCCATTTATAATGCCATCAAACATTGTTTTAATATATTAATTCAACTCAAAAAAATTTTGTGTTTATTATATACCAGGAAAATTGCAATAGGTGATGCAACAACAATGGTTTGCAAAACACAGTTCAAGGTGTCCTCAGCTAGAAGTAAAGATAGGGCATAAAGAATAGGCAATTTTGGTTAAGATAGTGTGTGTCAGTATTAAGTACAGGGTTCTACTGCTGCACGAGGAAGGGTTACCTAACCCAGTTTTTAGGGATATAAGAGGACCTGAAGAATGATTAGAGATTGGCTAAGTGATTCTAGACAAAAGATCAAAAAAGTCAAAAGCTATGATGCATTAAGAAAGTGGAATACTCAGAGAACTACAAGTGGGTCAGTACAGTTGTATAGAGTGTAAGGAGGTAGTGGGTTAACCAGAAAATAAGGAGAGAAGCCGGGTTTTATTCAAGATAGGTCTCATGTGCCAATACCAATGAGTAGTCTGTATTTTAGAAATAAAAAGTTGGCAGCTGCAGGGTAAATTCAGAGTGTGTGTGTGTGTGTGTGTGTGTGTGTGTGTGTGTTCATAAATAAGTGGGTTATAATTTAAATATATAGAAATTTTTCCACAAAGACTCAGATTAAGGATTCTCTTGAAAAATCAAGAATTAATATATACACTTACCATGTACCTACAAAAACTTAAAAAATTAAAACCTAGTTTCCTTAAACCTTAAAAACAAAGAAAAGGAAAAACCAGGAATTCATACTGGATCGGTGTTGCCTTACACCTGAGAAATTTGCTTTTCGTGGAAGAAAAGGCACTTTTATGGGTCACCACACTCTTCACTTGCTTCACTCATTTATATAACCTGCCAGTTCCCTGAGGCATTTGCGTTTGCAAGCCTCCTGAGGAGGAACTACAACATTAACTTTGCCGTATTAGTCTGGCTGCATATTCAACCTACTTTTGTAGGTTGAAGATATCAAGACTAGAATCAGGGGCACAATTTAAGAAATTCCATCTGTAACTCAGAAAAGTAATGAGGATCCAACAGAGATTCTGCTGGGCAGTAGAGAAAAGGGATGAGAGTGAGCGTTTCTAAGGTGGCATTGTTAGGGGATCAGTTAGACACTGAAGAAAAGGCAGAGAGAAGAATGAAGGATAACATTTTAGTTTTCCAAGTGAGTCAACTTGAGAGTCATCTAAGTTTAAGATTTTCAAGAATCAGACACAGAAAGAATTAAACCCGCAAATATTTTTTGCTAGAAATGCCTGGGTAACATCATTGGAACAGGGTTTAAGAGAAAACACAAGGAGCTTGCAGATAGAAATACAGTTCTGACACCTATAAAAGGAAAGAGTGAAGGAAGGAAAATTGAGTAGTAGGGAGATCAGACTGTAGGGTATGCCTGAGCAAGCTTCAGTCAGGATGATTAGAACACAAAATACGCTTGTTAAAGGGATTTACCACTTGTGAAGAAATGGCCTGGCACTAGTACTTCCACCATACTCAGTCATTGACAGGCATTAACCAAGGTAGAGCATGGCCTGCTAAAAATATGCTGGGGATTTTGAAAATATAGCAGCTCACAGTTGTCAGCTAACTGCTCTCTTGCAAGAAACTCTCTTGAAAGGAAATCTGAGCAGTGTACTCACATAGCTGACAAGTGCCATTAGTAGAGGTATTGGATTTATGTAATAAGAGAAAAGAATGAAAAATGGTTGCCTATAGAGGAAAAGAAATTGGCACAGTTAGCAAGAAACTGATGTTTCTCTGATAAGCTTTTTAGAACAATCTGCCTCTGACATATTATTTATGTTAAAAGGAGTTGTGGCAGAGATTGTGATATAAATTCCAGAAATTTTCCATTTTTATTTAGGCACACTGTCAGACAACTCTCTTTATGTTCTCTTGCAGTTAAGTATGCCAGTGTGGTTGAGTTGTTGCCAGTGGAACCAGAGAAGAAGTGGTATGTACCACTTACAAGCAGAGTTCATAAAATCCCCCCAAATGATCCTCTCCTTCATTTTCCTGGCTGGAAGTAGAGGATTTCAAGGCTCGACAAGATGGAGAAAGTGTAGATTCTTAATTATTGCAAAGAAGGCCACCTGGCAAACACCTACTTTGGATCATTCTGTGTTAAAAAACATATTTTTATTATTTTAAGTTGATAATATTTGAGAACTTAACTATGTAGCTAGCATTAACCTAAGAGGTCTTCCAAGAAAAATATATGTCTATATAGGAAACACATAAATATTTGTAATGTAGATCTTTACATACTTTCAAAGACATCTTTCCATATACATTTTTACCCTTGAATTCTTTTTCTTAAAGCTTCAGATTCTCATCCCCAATACTTAGTAACTTATTAAAGTCTGGCTTACACTATATATTTGACAAACCCATGATGTTAAGCTGACTTCTCCTTATTCTCTACTTGGACTAATGGTGCCATCATTTCCACAGACACTCAAGACCTAAATTTTTGTTTTGCTTTGATTTCTATCTTTCGAAGAATTCTCAGAACAAATCGGTAAATTTTGTTAATCCTCTTTCTTTTATATATTTTTGTATGCTTTCCATTCTTCACATCTCTATTACCACCATCCTGGGGTAGATGTATATCTTTGTGCATAGAATACCAAAATAGATTTCTAACATCACATAGTCTATTAGACCTAGTCTCCCCCAAGCCTCTTCTGCAAATTGTCATTGCCACTGTCCCCAGAGCATTGTGGAGATTATAGTAGCTATCACATGATGGGAGGAATACAGAATAGGAAGATTCCAGTTTGAAATATCTATCTACATACTAGGGTGACCTTGGGAAGGTGACTTGGACATTCTGAGCCTGGAGTCCTTTCTCAGATAAAAGTAGCTCATCTCCATTCACAGCACTGTTGCAAACGATTTAATGAGGTAACTTGTAAATGATGATAGCAAAACAACTGGCTCATGATCATGCATACTATGTATTTATTGAATGAATAAATATATTATTTACCTCTTCTCTTCCCCTTAACTTAACTAACTTATCTCCTGCTTACAAGGTATTCTCTACTCCACTCAACTTGACCAAATGCTATTTCTCCTTCAAGGCAAACACAAATCAGACCTGTTTTTTTAATCTCTTCCTAACCACTTCCTTCTCTATGGGAATGTTGATCACTTATTTTATTTTGCATATTTTTGAATTAGCTTTTTTTGATTTTCATATATAATCATTTTCTTTAAGTGGACTGCAATGACAAGGGACCTATTGTATACAAAGTATCAGGTGTGCAGTTGTACTTTTTTTTTTTTTTTTAATTTTTACTTGCTTTATTTGACCTGGCCAGAATTCCTTTCTTCGTTTGTCATAAACAGTATTCTGACTTTCTGTTGGACATAAATTACTTTTACACCTCTAACCCCTGAGCATCACTTTCATATAACCCCACACACTATCTCCAAGGGCAAGCACAGGAGTCAGTACTTGCCAATCTGAGTGATTCATTCTCCAGCCCAAAATGATAGGGCTTGTGATCCAAGAAAGGCCTCATGATCTCTGTTGGAACTAGAGAGACAGTAATTCTTTCATAGGAGTTGCAATGCAGAATTAGATTAAAGAGAGTAGTATTTTTTACCTTGTAGAAAGGTATAGCTTGCAAATCAACCCAGTTGGAAAAAAAATAGGGCCAAGGGAAGAAGACAAAGAATGAGAGAATTAACCCTGTTGACATTGTTTGAATTCCTGGTTCAATCTGTGTCTGATCTCTTAGCTAGGGAGTTTATCCCCAGATAATTCTGTCACTTATTCTAAACATTTTCTTTTTTAGAAAATTAATCCAATTTATTTGTTTTCTGTTATTTGCAATCAAAAGAGAACTGTCTATTACAGTTGTGTTTATTAACTTTGAAATAACATTTACTGATTATTTTTCTGGCTTATTCATAATGAGATGTAGACCAAAAACATGTGGATTATACAATGTAAATCCCTCCTCACTAATGGAGAATAAAAGCCCAGAAGCATATTTTTGTGACTTATGTAAATTTCATTATTTTGCTGTTTAAATAAGCACATAGTTTTATATATTTTTAAAAAACTTCAAAGACCACTTCTGTATTCCAATCTGTAAAAAATATTTTCATTATGTTTATTATAAAAATATAAATGTTTCCACTACAAATCATTTTACATTAGTAAGAGGCCATCTACATTGTACAACATAAACTGAGTAATATTTTGAAAAGACAAGTTTAAAGTAAACACATATTGCCAATCATATCACATTTATACATGGCTTGATTGATATTTAGCACAGCATAAACTGAGTGAGTTACCAGAAATAAATAATATATGTAAATCAAATTTAAGATACAAAACAGATCATATGGTACATAACATCATGTAGGAGTTGTGGCTTTATGTTTACTGAAAGTCAATGCAGTTCCTGTACAAAGAGATGGCCGTAAGCATTCTAGTACCTCTACTCCATGGTTAAGAATCGTACACTTATGTTTACATATGTACAGGGTAAGAATTGTGTAAAGTAAATTTATGAGAGGTCAAGGAGAAAAATATTAATAAAATGAAGAACAGTATATGGTGTATACAACCTCTACTTTCAGATGGAAACCACAGCCAAAATAAGTGAAATAGATTCAACAATCCTCAACTTCTATTAGTTTATGAAATGCATGGGTTTTGTTGAGTATGCTCAGAATAGTACCTAAAAAAGAAAATAGTAGTCTGGGAAAAAATTAGATTGAAACCACATTCAGATCTCATTCTAACATTCCAAACACAAAATACTTGATTTAAAAAAAAAATGTTTTCTAGCTGCTGATAGCAGGTATAAGTGAAATTTGTGATTAATTTTATAATCACAAGTGTATTTTTAAAAATTTCATGCTCTTATATATCCAATACAGAATTCTAGTAGCCTGATTTGACTAAGGAATATTGCCAAGATTTGAGAAACAATCATATCCGAAGGAGCACAATCTAAGTCTTATTACACTAAATCTACAACAGATGAGCACTTGTGAGTTTTGATTTGCGATTGTAAGCTGTGTTTCATTAGCGTTCCATTTTGCATAAGAACATTAAGTTTGCAGCATTATTTTATCCATTCTAGTGACATATGCATTTCTTATACTCAAGATCATATCAGCATTAGAAAGAGTATCAATAGAGCTAAAATGTTGCTTCAGAATATATTACTAGCTAGATATCCACCAGGTACATCTTTTCAAAATTAATGAGCAAGCTCATAGTTAGCCTTTATGTAATAGTAAGTCTAAATCCCTGTGATGAGAAATTTCTCTCCTGCTTACACATTTTGAGGCGGTTGCTAGATGACCAACTATTCTGAAAATGTTATGTCCAGTAAATTCAAAGAAGTTCAATCCTTCTAAGTTACACACCAAAACTGCACCATGTGCATTGAAGTGGAAGACTCTTAAAGATAATAATACCTGGTACTAATGATCACAATGTTTAATTAATTCACCTAAACACCAGTGATACAGAGGAAAAGTTCTGTTATCATCATTCTCTATAAACAGCTCAGCAAGTTTCAGCAACAATAGTAAGTGACTTTTCAAAGCCAGTGAGCCAGTAATTGTTTTTTTTTTTACTCATGCATTGGCCTATAGGCTGTGTTGTCAATTAGTGCAGCATTCTATATAGGATTCCACTTCTCTCCAGTGGAGCTATTCTCGGAAGCTCTAACACGGCTCCTTCACTAAAGGAGGGAGTTGATAGTCTCTAAGCACCAGAGCAGGAAAGGTATGTTATCTGGTTGAAAATCCATTGCATACAAGCTGGTATATTACACTAAGTTGTGAGCATACAGTTTATAATAAACGGAGAGGCAACAATGATTGGGATAACAGATTTGAGAGATTTGGTTAGTGTATGAACAGGAAAAGGATTTCATTTTTTAAAAATATATGTAAGTGGATGGTTCAAAAAATCTGAAAGAAACCCATTATTATCTGTGTCTAGTTAAATTGCTGACAATTTGAGAGAGCATTTGGCACTTGGCTGTAACAAATCCATATTAAATCATCAAGGCATAAATAGAAAACAATAAAAACAATTCAAAAGAAAATAAATATGTACTTTTTTCAAAAATTAAGACATTTCTTTACATGATATACTTAAGGAAGCTAACAATTTAAAAATGTGTAGTACTTAAAACAACTACAAACTTCATCTCTATATGCTTTAAACAGATAAAAGAGAATAATGCAGTGATAAGGTAGTAAATATGGCCAGATAGTTTGAGGTATAAATTCCTCTGTGTTGCTTGCTTTAAAAGAAACAAAATACCTGTTACAGATTTCCTCTGTATATAAAAATATTACAAGTCTTTTCTTTTGTGGCTCTACCTAAACAAAGCCACCATGTCCATTTTGTTATTTCACTTGTTTTGATTTTATGATAGTCAGTTTATGATCAATGGCTATATGCTAGTTCTTCACCATTTTACGCTGAAGAATTAAATTTAATCCATTAACTAATATTTAAAAAAGCAATTACAAAAAAATACCCCACCCACCCATCCAATAAATGATAGGGGAAAATAAAGAGTTTTTCAATTCCATTTTAAGGCATTTGTACTCATATTTGAGTGTCTTATTGGACTTGGAACTTCCACCAGTATCTCCAGAATTATTGTCTGTCTGCAGGATGATGCTACGCCTTCCACAGCCACCACTTCCGTCCAGAAGCACTTCCGTCCCGTGCTTTACACGGGAACTGGGCCATTCTTTGATTGCGTTTCTAGAGCTTTAATGCTACTGATGATCTTCTTCTGTGGCCCAACCACGGTGACACCAACCTTTTTCATGTCACTGTAAAAAAAGAAAACAATATAAGAATCGGTTTCCTCGATAGTGTATAAGCAGGAGATTTTCAATTAGCACAATTTGCACGATGTTATATTCTAGTACTGTGGACCTAATTGTCTGATATTTGCATCATCTGTGTTATGTCCGGACCGTTCCACCATCTTGTAGAAGGCTATATAGATGGTGTAGTGGGTTGAATAGAGTTTCCCCAAAATCTCTGTCAATCCCAAACCTCAAAATGCGATTTTATTTGGATAGAGGGTCACTGCAGATGTAATTAATACACCGATTGGGAAAATATCTTACTGGATTAGGGTGGTACATAAATCCAGTGACAGTTTCCTTATAAGAGAATAGGATACACAGAGAAGAAGGCGATGTACAAATGGAGTCAGAGATTGGAGTTATGTTGCCACAATCCAGAGAATACCAGGATCCACCAGAAACTAGAAGAGACGAGGAAGAATTCACCCCTAGAGACTGGAGCAATTATGGTACTGCCAACATCTTGATTTCAGACTTCTGCCACCAGAATTCTAAGAAAAAACTTCTGTTGTTTAAGCCAATAAATTTGTGGTAACTTCTTGTGGCAGCCTTAGGAAACTAATATCAATGATCACACATTCTTTGTGGGGTTTTATCTCTTTCCCTTGAATCTGGGGACTGCTTCAGCTAACAGAGTACGCCAGAATTGACATTGTATCACTTTCTTCATTCAGGTCTTAGGAAACTGCCAGCCTCTACTTATTGCTTGAGATATCCTCTCTGGGGGCTCTAGAGCTGCCATATAAAAAGTCTGACTACCTGATACTATTTCACAGGAGAGGCCATATGTAAGCACCTTGGCCTACAATCCCAGGTGAGACCAGCTGTACAGCTAACTGTACCAAGGCAGACGTCGAAATGAAAGCATCTCCAGCCCTCCACACCAGATCAGTCCATTTGGCAGCTGTAAGCTTCTGTCAACATCAACCTCAGAGCACAAAGAATCACCCACCTGAGCTCTGCCCTCATTTATAACCCACAACACTATGATGTATAATAAACCTCTTGCTGTTTTAGCCTTTAAGTTTTCGGGGAGGCTGCTGTGCAGCCATAGATAACTGGAATAATCTCATTAAAGTACACAGTTCTTTCAAAGTAGAAAAACAATGACAAAGACCTATCTCTTTTATTAAATATATAATAATTTAAAGTCAGAAAGTAGGCATTAAAATAAAGATTATAAAAACATAAGGAATTTCATTTAGGTAAAAAAGACAGCTAATGTGCAAATGGTTAATTATATATTCTTGTTTCAAGTAATTAGTTCATATATTCCTGTCTTTCAGGATTGAGAGATGCTCAAACATCCCCCTCTAATGAAATCTTCCCCAACCCTCCTATTTAATATTTTAAAACTTTTCTGTACTTGTATCTGCACTTTCTGTTTTCTTTTCTTGTTTCATTTTCTTCCAAAGCATTTATTACCATCTGACATATTGACTTTCTTTCTGATTTATTTTCTTTATTCCCTATCTTACTCCACAAGAAGGTAAATTCCATGTGAACTGGGATTCTTTTTTTTTTCTCGTACTCTGTTTACCAACAGCAACCTAAACAATGGCTGCCAGTTAGTGGGCTCAATACAAATTTGCTAAAGAAAGAAACATACAAAATATATTTTTCTGGGTAAAGATGACCAGGGCGTAAAGTATCATTTGTCAAGGAGAGCCAGGAAAATTGAGAATGGCAAGGAAAAAAGAACACGTGTGAACACACCACACACAGACACAGACACACACACACACACAGAGGGGATTCCTTTATACTGAGCATAAAGAAAGAAAAAATTGGGAATTCAACTACACAGAAATGGATTAATCGATTTCTTAAGAAATGGGTTCCTAGGCAATAAAGGTGTTCAAGAAAACAATAGGTAACCATTTGAGAAGAAATGTAGTTGTTATTTAAGCATTAGGGCATTAAATTAACCGAGACTCTACTGAATTCCTACCATCTGGGCTGAGAAGGTTCCTGATGACCTTCAGGTTCCCTCCCTGCTGACTGTCAAAGGGCTGATAAATCCTCTCTGGAGAGCTTGTGCCTTGCCTTAGGCCCTATCTGATCATACTCTTTCTCAGGAAGGCTAGTGGGGATGTATGGGAATGTGAGGCTTGCCACGCTTAGTGTACTGCGGATGATGGAAGCCTTCACTTGGAGTAATGTATGCTACTTCTGTTGATCCCTGCCTTTGAGAATGTGCGTTACAGGATTTTGATAAACATACCATGAATCTACCTTTAAAACAAAGAATAAACATTTCTCCACTTATCCCCAAACGACAGCAAAGTCAGTTTTTGAGTCTAGAGCCAGAAAACAGGACAGATACAAGTATGGGTATGCAAATCAATAGATTCTCACTCTTTCTTTTTTCTTTCATCTTCTTCCAATACCATATCCTATGTTTTATGACTAGATGATTTTTTGTCCTTTGTCTCTTCCCTTTCCCCTTCCTAAAATAATAGTCATGGAATGTAATCCCAGCACTTTGGGAGGCCGAGGCGGGTGAATCACGAGGTCAGGAGAGCAAGACCATCCTGACTAACGCGGTGATACCCCGTCTCTATTAAAAATACAAAAAAATTAGCGGGGCGTGGTGGCGGGCGCCTGTACTCCCAGCTACTCCGGAGGCTGAGGCAGGAGAATGGCGTGAACCCAGGAGGCGGAGCTTGCAGTGAGCCGAGATCGCGCCACTGCACTCCAGCCTGGGCGACAGAGCGAGAATCCGCCTCAAAAAAATTAAATAAATAAATAAATAAATAAATAAATAAAAATAATAATAGTCATGGAAAGTAAATATATATAATATTTATATTATATGAGTAAATATATATATATAATATTTATATATTCCAATGCAGTAATTGCCTGAGCTCTTTGAGAAATTTAAGCATAGTTACTGAGTGCTGCTTGCTATGATGTTTGGCCCTGATCTTCCTTCTGAACTGAAGCACTCATCCCCAAGTGGCTGGAAAAAAAAATGTGATGCTGAGTTCACAGACTGATTTGAGACATTCCTCATCACTTCTTCATAGCTGCACCTCCTGAGTGTATTCCTCAAGAAATGTTCTGCAAAAAACTGTTTTACATTCTGTATCTGTGAACCCAATATAAGCAAACATATATATATATAATATGCTTATATATATACATGTTTATATATATATACATGTTTATATATGTTATCTACAATATATAAACATTATATATTATATATAATATATAATATATATTTTTATATATTTATATAAATATACTACATATAAATGTTTTATATACAATTTTTTTACTTAATGCAAATGATTATATTGGACTTTTGAAAAGAGAATTAAAGTAATTATCCATTTGGGTTATTCCTTAGCTAGGGCTTTTAAACACCCTCTAGTCTCTCTATTCTTGCCCGAATATCTTCTGTCCACTACTCTGCATGTCCAAAATAATTTGGAACCCCCAGTTGCTGCTGTCTCCATAACACTCTGTGTGCTCATTTCATTTTGACTGTCCTGTTCAGAAGAGTGGCGGAAAAGTTCAAGACTAAAGAGCAGCTCCAGACTGAGACCAGAGGTTAAAGTGTTATCTGGTACTTCAAAGGCAAAGGGATAGGTGATGACACTTTGAAAATGGCATCCAAGGGTGCAGGATAATGACATGTGGCAATGAATCTGCTTAATATTCATTCCACACACTTAATTCTCTTTCTAGTTCCACAGTCACAGCCACTCTAACCTTTCCCTTTCTCTCTTCCTTTCTCACTTTAACCTTCCTAAATCCATCTTAGGTTATGAAATAATGTCTTGAAATATGTATTTATTAAACAAAATTGCATGTGTTCTGGGCTTTGTTCAAAAATGAGATAACTTGAGTAGCTTGCATGTCAATGAAATCTCTAAACTAACGAAAATAAATTAATATGCATTTGAATGTGAAATTTTATTGATCTTTTCCTATACTTTGACAGCCTGAATAGGAATAAAGGTATCTTTTTCTATTCTAGGAGGATCTCCACAGTTATTTGGTCGAGCAAATCATTTCTGAATTGAGTCTGGATGGCACAAAGAAAATACAGACTGAAAGCAATCAAATTCAAACAATAAGCCAGGAACCCGAAAGAAAGCTAAAATATCTAGCTCAATATTTTACAGCATTTATGCTGAAAATGTTGCCTCATTATATTTACCCAAATTATTAGTATGTTAAAGACTTTTAATAAATTCTCTTTTTGTAATATAAATTAGGAGCATGAGGTGCATGACACTATGAAGACTCAAGGAAAAAAGCAGCTCCTTTCAAGAAGGAGTGTTAGGGCAAAGGTGTTAATCCTATATTGTCCCTGAATTGAGGAGAAAGGACAGAAGAAGGAATATTGTGGGGAGTGCAATATGGACATATCCATACCACCTGACTCAGTGTGCAGGACAAACCTGAAAAAGCTGTCTTTCAGGAAAAGTCAGTTTTCATCTTGAATGTATATTCACAGGTTGTTCAAATAATAATAACAATTAAGTAAAAATATTCCAATCAGCCAAAAAGAGTTTGACGTCCAACATGGTATTGCTGACATAAGTAATGTCGCTAACTTGGAAAGTATGACAAATGCTGTCATTCACTTTTTTAAAGCAAATAGCTTTCTTATCACATTCATAGCTTATAATGGCTGACAATATTTGAATTGCAAACTAGCAGTTAATCTTATCAACAGTGTTCTGCCTCATACATTTCAATATAGTGTTTCAATATCTAAAAGTTTTGAGTGTTGATATTTTATTGAGAGTAAACATTTGCATAACTTTGCCTTTGAAAATCTGGCAGTGATGTGGACATGTTCAACTTTGTGTTTGCTTTTCGCTATGCTTCTGTGCTCTACAGCAGGTGTTTTGTGTATCATAACCCTAACTGTTTATATTACTAAAATAAGAATTTATAAAAATATTTAAACACATGACTATATCCTGAGACTGTATCTGATCAAAATAAGTACCACAGAAACCCAAGTGTACTGTCGATTGGGTCAGAAGTCTATTCAATAAACACCACATTCCACTTTGAACAAGAATGCTGGTGCATGTTAAATTGACTAGGGTAAGTTTATTTTTTTAGAACAAGTCCTCTTCTTCAATAATCGTAAACTGTTCCTGTAAGTCCTTCTTTGGCTTTATGTCTTTCTGATTGTAATGTTACACCATAAATTATAAACTTATTTATTTGTTTGTTGGGCACTTATATCTATTAATTACATGGCATGTTCTTTTCTGGCATCTAATCTGTTATTTTTCACAGTGATGTTGAATGATTGACAGGGTGGCAATGAAAGTCTTTATATATTCAACAATATTTAAATATTTAAATATTAGTGGGAGATGATAATACTTAAACTTGGGGGACTAAAGGGTTTATTTAATTTAACAAAGATCAAAGAAAGACTGACACAAAGATGAACAGTTTCCCAATAGACCATGCAAGCGACAACATGCTGGACAACTTTTGGTGTATCTATCCAGTATACACTTCTTTCTTTGGGACAGTTCTCCATCTTATCTTCAGGAAAAGGCCCCTAGAGCCAAGTTCATACTACCTCATTCTACTTCTTTTGAAGATAAATGACTAGATACTAGTAAACATATGACTTTGGAGGTGCCAATGTACAAGTGGGACTGAGCCAGTCCTACTTTCTCTCCTGGTAACTTAGATTAAGGGAGTTGGACCCTGGTCAGTTGAATGGCACTATAAGGCTATATGACCAAGAGTTTAGAAAGCCAGTTTTTAGCTATGCGCATGGGAATCCAGAAAATGTCACTGTGCAGAAAAAGAAAAAATTATGTAGTCACATTAGGAAGTGAAGTAAATTGGTTCTCAATCACAGTGAGATGAAGAATGTGACTTCCAACTCTTAATTTATCAATTCCCAAACACTCTACTTTGTGAATAAGAACCAAATTTTTGACTATTCACTGGATTCACTTGATTCTTTATATACCACCTTTCCTTGAGTCCATGTGTTTCTCATATCAAAAGATTCCTGTTACCCAAAGATGATTGTCCACAAAATACAGCATATTATACTTGATTATTATTGGTTTTTAACACATAAAGCTATCAATTAATATTAATATTATGACGCATATTTTTTCTTTCTCATCTGGCAATAAGCCTTTTGAGGAAAACCCAAAAATTCTATCTTAAACCTAATTATAACTTCATTTTCTAGCATGATATCCTTTACAGGGTAGACAATGATGAATACATGTTGTTATGTTTATTTAGCAACTATGAAAACCAGTTTTAGACTTTAATATGTTTCCTTGTATACCACATTATCTACTTGGCTCTCAATTTTCCTGATTCACAGATGTTAAGCTTTAGTAAAAATAACAGAAAAATCACAAAATGCAGAAATATAATAATCATCAATCTATGTCTGCTTATGTTTTAAATTAGGGGCTTGAGTCTGCAGTGTGGTTATGGGTGTGAATCTGTTGGTTGATCTGAAGGTCATATCTAAAGACACCGATCCTGGGCCCTATCTTGAGAGAGGAAGACACATCAATATGTATCAATCCAGAAGCTGTGGGCCACAAGGAGACCCAGGGCCCTGATTAGCAGTTCCAGGCGGTAGTCAGTACCTCAGATCTACCACTAATATTTGTAACATGTCAAGCCAAGATGTTACAAATCTTTCATGTCAAGCCAAGAAAGTTCAAAAGAATCCTTCATTCTTCTTAATGAATTTTTTTTTCTTACTCTGTGGAAATCTTGGCTATTGTGTCACAAGAACTGTACTCCACACCCGTGAAGATTTCCTTGCAGTGTGCTGTCCAGACACCATTAAGCCAGTCACCTGTTGTGCGGAAGGTAGTGATATCCACATTGCTTTGGTCCAGAAGAAGGTTTGATGGCCTGCAAGAAAAAAAACACCAAAGGGAGACAGATCAGGAGTCAGCAGAGTTGCTGTGTGTCAAAATTTGACACTAACATCGGCAGGAACTTCCAGACTTCATATGGTGTTCCTTTCATTTGTGGAATTTATCTGCCATGAAAGCTTCATCTGTTCAAGCTGGCAGCTTGGAGGAACGCCGTGTAATCATCTTGTCTAAGTTCTCCCCTTCTCCATCCACAAATGCTTTTAAATCACTGAAAATTTTCCAGTGAAAGACATAAATATATCCATACATATTTTATTATCATTGAATTTAATCACTAGCAAAAATGGTAGTAATTTAGGATACGGTTACAGTAGGCAGGACACACTGAATTCTTTGCTGTCTGCTTTGATGATGGATTCAGTTTCAATATTTTAAGTATTTCCCACTGGATGTTTGTTTGTTTGTTTGACATTGCACAGGTTGCTGTCTAAAGAATGGCTTGAACAATCTAGGCTACACTCACAGCAGGACATAAACTCAATACAGAGTTAAATAATGCTGCATGTCATTAAAAATAAAAAATAATAGAAAAAAGTAGATGACTGATAAGAAAAAACATTCTTGCATACTTGACACCAAATGAAGTTCATGATATATATATGCAACACATTATTCATGATATATACATTATATATGTAATGTGTTTATATACACATGATATATACATAATATTTTATATATATACACACACACATACACACACACACACAGAGACTCAGAGAGGGATTGTAATTGTGATTTATATTGCACAATACAATCAGCTTTAAGAAAAAGGGCCGGGCGCAGTGGCTCACTCCTGTAATCCCAGCACTTTGGGAGGTTGAGGCCGGCGGGTCACCTGAGGTCAGGAGTTCGAGACCAACCTCACCAACATGGAGAAACTCCATCTCTACTAAAAATACCAAATTAGCCATGGTGGCACATGCCTGTAATCCCAGCTACTCGGGACGCTGAAGCAGGAGAATCGCTTGAACCTGGGAGGCGAAGGTTGCGGTGAGCCGAGTTCATGCCATTGCACTCCAGCCTGGGCAACAGGAGCGAAACTCCGTCTCAAAAAGAAAGAGAGAAAGAAAAAGGACTTCCTTCTAGGATTTTTTTATATAAATACAGGCCTAAACATCTATCTATAACCACCTGCAAGACCTGGTAAATCAATGGAACAGAAGAGGCATAAAGGAAATGAATGAGACAATGTTTGCCTCCCTGAAGAGGCAAAAGAAGCAGACTGTTGGTGAAATGTCTTTGGTGTGTTTTTTTTTTTCTTCAGCTCTTAGTGGCCTCTTTAATTGTCCTTTGACTTATAAGACTGGAGCCAGTCACTAGGTGAACAATATATTGACTTCTCTCTTCTTTTCTCCTAAGGAAGGGAGCTTGGGCACAAGGTAGTTATAAAAGCCTTTAGTTTTGGATGAATAATAACAATGACAGAAATAAGTTTTTAAGGCCCTTGTTTTCATATTATATCAAACGTTCATGTGCACTCAATGTGGCAGGCATCATGCTAAGAATATTACACAGACATGAAGGACCTTAATCCTTACAGTACCTGTTAGGCACTGATGCTATCCTCTGAGATAGATAAAGAAGCTGAAACTAAATCACATTAAGTTACGAAGCTAAGTTTCCTCAGGCAAAAGAGGCAGAGCTGGCCTTTAGACCCACATTATTCTATACCACAGTCCACATTCTTGACTGGTACACTGTGCCATTTAGGTAAAACTTTGTTCATATTGCATTTCCCCTGTTTTTTCTTAAATGATTTATGATTCCATCATGTGGCATATTCGATGTTTATATGCCCTGAAGTTTAGTGCACAGATACTGGAACCGTAAGGCCTGGGTTGAATCCCAGGTATACCACATACTATTTGTGTGACCTTGGTGAATTTCTTGTCTGTTTCCTCATCTGTAAAATGGGGATGATGGTGAGGATATCAATTTCACACAAATGAAGATTAAATGAGCATATGTGGGAAGCACTTAGAACAGTGCTGGCTCATAATAAGCACTATGTGTTAGCTGTTCATTATTCTTATGTAAATGGTGAAATGGTTAAACTTCTGAAAACTTCAAAAAGAAAATAGCAGAGTAAATATCAGTTTATATATAATGCTGGGAATGCAATGATCTTGTTAACCACCATTTTAAGTAACTAGAAATTTAGTCATATATAATATTATGTACATAATAGTATAACAACCCTGAAAAGTAGCCATTATTAGGGGCTTCATTAGAATAGTCAGTAACTTTTACAACTTCACAATCATTCCACTGCAAATGCTTGAAAACAGAAGTGCTATTCTGCTGTCTGTGATTTTTTTCATTATTGTAATAAAATATAGTATTAATGTTAAAACTTTATATATAATTTAATCTTTATTTAATAATTAAGAGGGTATATTTTGATTTTTTGCCGTTTTAGTTCTTCAGAATCTTTCAATAAAAATCTCCAAAATTAGGAGTATTAAAACTAGAACTTCATATTTTTCTTATATACTTGAAATGAAAGATTAGTCTAAGTGAAGTCTGTCATTTGAAGTGTTTAAATTCAAAGTTTAGAATTTGTGGTGAGAAGACACCAAAACAAATAATATATCGACATGCATTTATCCTTATTTTAGACATAAATTTAGGTCTCTAAGGGGCTAATTTCAATATCTTTAGAAATAGCATGAAATAGCAAAATGAACAATATACATGAAATAAAACTGTATAATGTTTTACATATGAGTAGCAATCATTGATTACCATCTAGGATATGTGGTAAAAGCTCCTGTTCTAAATGAGAAAATCTATGAAGCAAATCTGTGCCAGCTCTGCGCACACTTAAATAGGTCTTTTAATTGAGAGGTTTATACCACTTCTGGTGATATTCTTCAACTTACTCTCTTATGTACAAAAGACCTGCTCAAGTGTAAAGTTGATTCGTGAGCCAGGATAATTTTAGATCGTGCCCTACACCTACATGCTATTACTTGGAACATATGAGAAGTTTGTGAATTCACTATCTGGATTTTTACAGCGATGCATGAAACGTATTTGATAAAAATGGTCACATTTTAGTGCAGTTTTAACCCTGAGTTTCAGGAAAAAAAAATTGCAACATTGGTTCTGACTCTATTTACATACTCTGTGGAAAATATAGATTAATAGTCCCCTCTCTGTGATGGTCATTTGTGTAGTGGAGGGAAGTTGAAAGGGAAGGATTCTTCAAACTTCTGTCCACTAGACTAAACTCAATTACCTCAATCCTTTTTACTTCACAAGTTCAAATTATAAATTGAAAATCTTAATTATGGAGTTTATAATTTCTATTTCTCTGATATAGTTTAGTTTTACTAACTCTCAGAGATTATCTAAAAAAGGATTGGGCCATATTATATAAATATTAATTTTTTCCTTTAGCAATATCAGGAAAACTATAAAATATCAATATAACATTTCATAAGTTATCTTCTTCTGAAACATATATGCAAACGACTTTATGATTTTTTAAATTACTCATCTTAGGAAGAAAAACAGCTTATTTTTATAATTGAAAATTTTGTATTTTTATTCTTTTCCTAAGAACTTGAGTAATTACAGATATACACCAAAATGTACACAATATTCATGGGTTGTTTCAGCATAGTTATCATGAGTGAAATAGTCTTTGTCACTAGCAAGCATTAGACATTACATTAGACTCATTGGATAAGTCATTGAACCACTAAAAAATTGATAAGAATAGCATTAAATCAGGTGTGAGAAGATTTTAGAAGAAAAATCATGTGAAACCTAGAATGAGACAAGACATTAAACTATCTACAGGCATGCGCGCGCACACGCCACAGTTTCTCTGTCTACAGTAGCTGGAGCACAGAATCTTATGTCAAGTTTTAGTCCCATGAATAGTAATACTTTTTTATTTATGGGTTTGTGGGTATGAAGAATCAAACCCCAGGACATTTATTCAGAATATTTATGAAGTGTGCCTAATAGCAAAATGCAGAATTCTTTCTTCTCAGTTCAGAATAGTTTGTACTTTTACACTCAACACTTTAGCCAGACTCAACAAGAGTTTAGAGAAAATTAGTATAAACAAATTGAAATAGAACAGGACGTGTGGATTAAGGATTAGTGACCCCAACTGAGTTTGTCTGTTTATGACTTGGATCAAAGTGCATCCAAGACAAAAAAAAATGACCTAATTTTAATGCCAATGACCTCAGAATAACTAGCCCTGCAAAGTATCATTTTTCCACTTCCAGGATTTCTCTGGGGATTTCAAATAAAAATTGGTTCCTTTCCTCCTCAGAGAGGACATCTGGAGAGTTTATCAATGGATAGGAATTTGTCTCTCACTGTGAAGAGCCTGTGATGTCTCTTCATGCGCACCAAGGGAATCTGGGCCTTTGAGCAGCTGCAGGCATTGGCGTTTTTTCAGACCCAGCCCCAGACATTGGTCTGAAGGGGAAATTTATAGGCTGGGTGATGTGCACCGTGAGCTCACACTTTTACTAGACAAATTAGATAGGTTTCAATCCATGCAGCTGTAAACGATGTCCTACAGAGCTCCACCTGATCTTTTACAGCTTTTCATAAATCAGTACCTACTGGCTACAGACCGCAGTCATTAAAAAGAAATCATGGAAATTACATATTTGCTCAGGGGAAGTGAAAAATAACTTTCTTCCCTTTCTTTCTCTCTCTTTCTATTAAGATTTGTGAATTATTCTTTCATGGGTTTTATACTGTTGCATTAGAGAGGTACATATATATTTTCTTCCCATCAATTCCTATTTTAGCTGTAAATAGGTGCATAAAAATTAGCACCAGATACTGGGGAAAAAGCTCAATAAACAACTGCCAATCCCAGGAATATCTTCGGGTAATAATCTTATTTCAATGCTACCTTAGAATTCTGAATCTCTAGTTATCCATTTCTCACTTAATAGACTCCTTTTGATTACAAAGAGATTTACTCCTCAAATATCAAAAATAATAACTAATACACATTTCTTGAATGAATAAGTATATGCCTATTATGTCTACAAGGAGGTAATAACATTGGAGATGCATACTGTAACATTATAATTATTTTTTATTTGTTGTGAATAGTTTCAGGAAATACATTAAATCTAAAAAGCAACTTTTTAAAGCCAAAATACTAATAATTGTATCTGAATTTATTATTGTTTGAGAATAGTAATATATTTTTTCCGTACATTTTATAACTGTTTTTTAAAATTTCAAATGTTTCCCCAATGTATTTCAGGGGGAAAATCTTATATTTGCCAATTTATTTTAATGTTGATTGCCGATGACCTTGATCTTTATCACTAAAATTAAAAATCCAGATACGATAAAATGAATTTAATTTTTCATCAGTAACTAAAAATAATTTTGAATATATACAGTTCCCAACAGGAACCTAGTACATAAATGACACATTAAGGAGAAATAAAGTCATTGTGTTTATTTTAATTATCTCTAGGCCTTAAGGACAAAAATCTTTGAAGTTATAGCCGTTACACCTGGTTTAATTCCTCCGTGTGGTAAAATTAGCTGTTTTGATTTTAAGATTAAAAAAGAGAGACAGGAGGGAGGAGCCAAGATGGCCGAATAGGAACAGCTCCGGTCTACAGCTCCCAGCGTGAGCGACGCATAAGACGGTGATTTCTGCATTTCCATCTGAGGTACCGGGTTCATCTCACTAGGGAGTGCCAGACAGTGGGCGCAGGCCAGTGTGTGTGCGCACCGTGCGCGAGCCGAAGCAGGGCGAGGCATTGCCTCACCTGGGAAGCGCAAGGGGTCAGGGAGTTCCCTTTCCGAGTCAAAGAAAGGGGTGACGGACGCACCTGGAAAATCGGGTCACTCCCACCCGAATATTGCGCTTTTCAGACCGGCTTAAGAAACGGCGCACCACAAGACTATATCCCACACCTGGCTCGGAGGGTCCTACGCCCACGGAGTCTCGCTGATTGCTAGCACAGCAGTCTGAGATCAAACTGCAAGGCGGCAACGAGGCTGGGGGAGGGGCGCCCGCCATTGCCCAGGCTTGCTTAGGTAAACAAAGCAGCCAGGAAGCTCGAACTGGGTGGAGCCCACCACAGCTCAAGGAGGCCTGCCTGCCTCTGTAGGCTCCACCTCTGGGGGCAGGGCACAGACAAACAAAAAGACAGCAGTAACCTCTGCAGACTTAAGTGTCCCTGTCTGACAGCTTTGAAGAGAGCAGTGGTTCTCCCAGCACGCAGCTGGAGATCTGAGAACAGGCAGACTGCCTCCTCAAGTGGGTCCCTGACTCCTGACCCCCGAGCAGCCTAACTGGGAGGCACCCCCCAGCAGGGGCACACTGACACCTCACACGGCAGGGTATTCCAACAGACCTGCAGCTGAGGGTCCTGTCTGTTAGAAGGAAAACTAACAACCAGAAAGGACATCTACACCGAAAACCCATCTGTACATCACCATCATCAAAGACCAAAAGTAGATAAAACCACAAAGATGGGGAAAAAACAGAACAGAAAAACTGGAAACTCTAAAACGCAGAGCGCCTCTCCTCCTCCAAAGGAACGCAGTTCCTCACCAGCAACAGAACAAAGCTGGATGGAGAATGATTTTGACGAGCTGAGAGAAGAAGGCTTCAGACGATCAAATTACTCTGAGCTACGGGAGGACATTCAAACCAAAGGCAAAGAAGTTGAAAACTTTGAAAAAAATTTAGAAGAATGTATAACTAGAATAACCAATACAGAGAAGTGCTTAAAGGAGCTGATGGAGCTGAAAACCAAGGCTCGAGAACTACGTGAAGAATGCAGAAGCCTCAGGAGCCGATGCGATCAACTGGAAGAAAGGGTATCAGCAATGGAAGATGAAATGAATGAAATGAAGCGAGAAGGGAAGTTTAGAGAAAAAAGAATAAAAAGAAATGAGCAAAGCCTCCAAGAAATATGGGACTATGTGAAAAGACCAAATCTACGTCTGATTGGTGTACCTGAAAGTGATGTGGAGAATGGAACCAAGTTGGAAAACACTCTGCAGGATATTATCCAGGAGAACTTCCCCAATCTAGCAAGGCAGGCCAACGTTCAGATTCAGGAAATACAGAGAACGCCACAAAGATACTCCTCGAGAAGAGCAACTCCAAGACACATAATTGTCAGATTCACCAAAGTTGAAATGAAGGAAAAAATGTTAAGGGCAGCCAGAGAGAAAGGTCGGGTTACCCTCAAAGGAAAGCCCATCAGACTAACAGCGGATCTCTCGGCAGAAACCCTACAAGCCAGAAGAGAGTGGGGGCCAATATTCAACATTCTTAAAGAAAAGAATTTTCAACCCAGAATTTCATATCCAGCCAAACTAAGCTTCATAAGTGAAGGAGAAATAAAATACTTTATAGACAAGCAAATGTTGAGAGATTTTGTCACCACCAGGCCTGCCCTAAAAGAGCTCCTGAAGGAAGCGCTAAACATGGAAAGGAACAACCGGTACCAGCCGCTGCAAAATCATGCCAAAATGTAAAGACCATCGAGACTAGGAAGAAACTGCATCAACTAATGAGCAAAATCACCAGCTAACATCATAATGACAGGATCAAATTCACACATAACAATATTAACTTTAAATATAAATGGACTAAATTCTGCAATTAAAAGACACAGACTGGCAAGTTGGATAAAGAGTCAAGACCCATCAGTGTGCTGTATTCAGGAAACCCATCTCACGTGCAGAGACACACATAGGCTCAAAATAAAAGGATGGAGGAAGATCTACCAAGCCAATGGAAAACAAAAAAAGGCAGGGGTTGCAATCCTAGTCTCTGATAAAACAGACTTTAAACCAACAAAGATCAAAAGAGACAAAGAAGGCCATTACATAATGGTAAAGGGATCAATTCAACAAGAGGAGCTAACTATCCTAAATATTTATGCACCCAATACAGGAGCACCCAGATTCATAAAGCAAGTCCTCAGTGACCTACAAAGAGACTTAGACTCCCACACATTAATAATGGGAGACTTTAACACCCCACTGTCAACATTAGACAGATCAACGAGACAGAAAGTCAACAAGGATACCCAGGAATTGAACTCAGCTCTGCACCAAGCAGACCTAATAGACATCTACAGAACTCTCCACCCCAAATCAACAGAATATACATTTTTTTCAGCACCACACCACACCTATTCCAAAATTGACCACATAGTTGGAAGTAAAGCTCTCCTCAGCAAATGTAAAAGAACAGAAATTATAACAAACTATCTCTCAGACCACAGTGCAATCAAACTAGAACTCAGGATTAAGAATCTCACTCAAAGCCGCTCAACTACATGGAAACTGAACAACCTGCTCCTGAATGACTACTGGGTACATAACGAAATGAAGGCAGAAATAAAGATGTTCTTTGAAACCAACGAGAACAAAGACACCACATACCAGAATCTCTGGGACACATTCAAAGCAGTGTGTAGAGGGAAATTTATAGCACTAAATGCCTACAAGAGAAAGCAGGAAAGATCCAAAATTGACACCCTAACATCACAATTAAAAGAACTAGAAAAGCAAGAGCAAACACATTCAAAAGCTAGCAGAAGGCAAGAAATAACTAAAATCAGAGCAGAACTGAAGGAAATAGAGACACAAAAAACCCTTCAAAAAATCAATGAATCCAGGAGCTGGTTTTTTGAAAGGATCAACAAAATTGATAGACCGCTAGCAAGACTAATAAAGAAAAAAAGAGAGAAGAATCAAATAGACACAATAAAAAATGATAAAGGGGATATCACCACCGATCCCACAGAAATACAAACTACCATCAGAGAATACTACAAACACCTCTACGCAAATAAACTAGAAAATCTAGAAGAAATGGATACATTCCTCGACACATACACTCTCCCAAGACTAAACCAGGAAGAAGTTGAATCTCTGAATCGACCAATAACAGGCTCTGAAATTGTGGCAATAATCAATAGTTTACCAACCAAAAAGAGTCCAGGACCAGATGGATTCACAGCCGAATTCTACCAGAGGTACAAGGAGGAACTGGTACCATTCCTTCTGAAACTATTCCAATCAATAGAAAAAGAGGGAATCCTCCCTAACTCATTTTATGAGGCCAGCATCATTCTGATACCAAAGCCGGGCAGAGACACAACCAAAAAAGAGAATTTTAGACCAATATCCTTGATGAACATTGATGCAAAAATCCTCAATAAAATACTGGCAAACCGAATCCAGCAGCACATCAAAAAGCTTATCCACCATGATCAAGTGGGCTTCATCCCTGGGATGCAAGGCTGGTTCAATATACGCAAATCAATAAATGTAATCCAGCATATAAATAGAGCCAAAGACAAAAACCACATGATTATCTCAATAGATGCAGAAAAAGCCTTTGACAAAATTCAACAACCCTTCATGCTAAAAACTCTCAATAAATTAGGTATTGATGGGACGTATTTCAAAATAATAAGAGCTATCTATGACAAACCCACAGCCAATATCATACTGAATGGGCAAAAACTGGAAGCATTCCCTTTGAAAACCGGCACAAGACAGGGATGCCCTCTCTCACCGCTCCTATTCAACATAGTGTTGGAAGTTCTGGCCAGGGCAATCAGGCAGGAGAAGGAAATAAAGGGTATTCAATTAGGAAAAGAGGAAGTCAAATTGTCCCTGTTTGCAGACGACATGATTGTTTATCTAGAAAACCCCATCGTCTCAGCCCAAAATCTCCTTAAGCTGATAAGCAACTTCAGCAAAGTCTCAGGATACAAAATCAATGTACAAAAATCACAAGCATTCTTATACACCAACAACAGACAAACAGAGAGCCAAATCATGGGTGAACTCCCATTCACAATTGCTTCAAAGAGAATAAAATACCTAGGAATCCAACTTACAAGGGATGTGAAGGACCTCTTCAAGGAGAACTACAAACCACTGCTCAAGGAAATAAAAGAGGAGACAAACAAATGGAAGAACATTCCATGCTCATGGGTAGGAAGAATCAATATCGTGAAAATGGCCATACTGCCCAAGGTAATTTACAGATTCAATGCCATCCCCATCAAGCTACCAATGACTTTCTTCACAGAATTGGAAAAAACTACTTTAAAGTTCATATGGAACCAAAAAAGAGCCCGCATTGCCAAGTCAATCCTAAGCCAAAAGAACAAAGCTGGAGGCATCACACTACCTGACTTCAAACTATACTCCAAGGCTACAGTAACCAAAACAGCATGGTACTGGTACCAAAACAGAGATATAGATCAATGGAACAGAACAGAGCCCTCAGAAATAATGCCGCATATCTACAACTATCTGATCTTTGACAAACCTGAGAAAAACAAGCAATGGGGAAAGGATTCCTTATTTAATAAATGGTGCTGGGAAAACTGGCTAGCCATATGTAGAAAGCTGAAACTGGATCCCTTCCTTACACCTTATACAAAAATCAATTCAAGATGGATTAAAGATTTAAACGTTAAACCTAAAACCATAAAAACCCTAGAAGAAAACCTAGGCATTACCATTCAGGACATAGGCGTGGGCAAGGACTTCATGTCCAAAACACCAAAAGCAATGGCAACAAAAGACAAAATTGACAAATGGGATCTAATTAAACTAAAGAGCTTCTGCACAGCAAAAGAAACTACCATCAGAGTGAACAGGCAACCTACAACATGGGAGAAAATTTTTGCAACCTACTCATCTGACAAAGGGCTAATATCCAGAATCTACAATGAACTCAAACAAATTTACAAGAAAAAAACAAACAACCCCATCAAAAAGTGGGTGAAGGACATGAACAGACACTTCTCAAAAGAAGACATTTATGCAGCCAAAAAACACATGAAGAAATGCTCATCATCACTGGCCATCAGAGAAATGCAAATCAAAACCACTATGAGATATCATCTCACACCAGTTAGAATGGCAATCATTAAAAAGTCAGGAAACAACAGGTGCTGGAGAGGATGCGGAGAAATAGGAACACTTTTACACTGTTGGTGGGACTGTAAACTAGTTCAACCATTGTGGAAGTCAGTGTGGCGATTCCTCAGGGATCTAGAACTAGAAATACCATTTGACCCAGCCATCCCATTACTGGGTATATACCCAAA
Source organism: Homo sapiens (assembly GCF_000001405.40). Lineage (NCBI taxonomy): Eukaryota > Metazoa > Chordata > Mammalia > Primates > Hominidae > Homo > Homo sapiens. Next base: position 89,461,326 of record NC_000003.12, on the reverse strand, counting down.
TGAGTATAAATCATGCTGCTATAAAGACACATGCACACGTATGTTTATTGCGGCACTATTCTCAATAGCAAAGACTTGGAACCAACCCAAATGTCCAACAATGATAGACTGGATTAAGAAAATGTGGCACATATACACCATGGAATACTATGCAGCCATAAAAAATGATGAGTTCATATCCTTTGTAGGGACATGGATGAAATTGGAAACCATCATTCTCAGTAAACTATCGCAAGAATAAAAAACCAAACACCGCATATTCTCACTCATAGGTGGGAATTGAACAATGAGATCACATGGACACAGGAAGGGGAATATCACACTCTGGGGACTGTGGTGGGGTCGGGGGAGGGGGGAGGGATAGCATTGGGAGATATACCTAATGCTAGATGACACATTAGTGGGTGCAGCGCACCAGCATGGCACATGTATACATATGTAACTAACCTGCACAATGTGCACATGTACCCTAAAACTTAGAGTATAATAAAAAAAAAAAAAAAGAGAGACAGAGAGATCACTTGGGTATTCGGCATATTCGATTCCCTCTAAAAGGTTCTGTATCATATTTATTCACTGAGCAAAGTCACCCTGTCAGTTTCAGAATTTGAGGTCAAAGTCATTTTGAGAAATAAAGGCAGATTGTCTTTTGGTTGTTCGATTTGTCTTGAAGGATATGGTATTTGTCAAAACAGCAGTTATTCTCAAAAAGAATTCTATTATGTACTCTTAGAGATCAGAAGCTTTTTACTAATACTTGTTTATTTTCATTAACTGGGGAAAATATGAGTATTGTTTATTTTTACTCCTTTCTATGCTGCAAGTTAATAAAAATAAATCCCTTCAAAGTTAGTGATCAATGCAATGAAACAATATATTTAAAAACATTTCAATTAAATTAACTAAATATAATTGGGTCTGCAGAACCTTGTTCTAAATATTATTAAATATATTGCTTAAGTCTGTGTCATGAATTGTGTTGCCTTCCATTTAAAACCTCGTTCTAAATATTTTGAATGTATTATCTAATTTTTTTGTGTCAAGAATTTGAATTTTATCAATTTACAACAGTATAGAAGAATTCAATACCTGGCTAGTGGAAATTCTGTGAACTTAAGAAGAAATTATTTCTCTATTTCATTTTACACACATATGCACACACATACATCTCTTCAAAATTAATATTGTCAATAATAAAAATCTCATATCTTCAAAAATAAAAAGGGTATCTTACTACTTGAATAGAAACACATTCTCATTTTTCTGTTATTAGTCAATTTTTAATTTAGCTTCAGTTATAAAATAAGTGAATAAATTTATTTAAATCTAGAAGTTATATTATAATCTTTCAAAATATGTTTTTAAAAAATAAATGTGTATTTCTCTTATATGTACAAAACAATGTGTTGGGAAGTTAAAGAATATTTTTATTTTAAGACTATTTTCTATTTATTTTCATGGTGGCATTTTCTATCAAGAACAATCTTTAAAAAACATCCCTTTGGGCTGGATGTGGTGGCTTAAGCCTGAATTCTCAGCAATTTGAAAGGCCAAGGCAAGTGGATCACCTGAGGTCAGGAGTTCGAGACCAGCCTGGTCAACACGGTGAAACCCCATCTCCACTAAGAATACAAACATTAGTCAGGCATGGTGGGGAGTGCCTATAATTCCAGATACTCAGGAGGCTGAGGCAGGAGAATCGCCTGAACCCAGGAGGCGGAGGATGGCACCATTGCATGCCAGCCCGGGCGACAAGAGTGAAACACTGTCAAGAAAGAAAGAAAGGAAGAAAGGAAGGAACGAAGGAAGGAAGGAAGGAAGGAAGGAAGGAAGGAGAGAAGGAAGGAGAGAAGGAAGGAGAGAAAGAAGGGAAGAAAGAAAGAGAAAGAAAGAAAGAAAGAGTAAGAAAAAGAGGAAGAGAAAGAGAAGAAAGAAGAAACATTTCTTTGATTCTTATAAAAAAAGAGAGGAGAGCTTCTTTTGTTTTCATTCTTTTATGCACATCTTCTTGTTTTGCCTTGCCTTTTCATTATCCAATTTTATAATTAGGTCTCTCACAATGTAATATATATTATTCCAAAATTCAGAATAGTTTTCTTAATACCTCAATGTTCCTTCTATCTTTTTTAAAATTTTACCTTAAGTTCTGGGGTACATGTGTTGAACCTGCAGGTTTGTTACATAGGTATACATGTGACTTGGTGGTTTGCTGCACCTATCAACACATCATCTAGGTTTTAAGCTCCACATGCATTAGGTATTTGTCAGAATGCTATCCTTTCCCTTTCCCTTCACCCTCCAATAGGCCCTGGTGTGTGATGTTCCTCTCCCTGAGTCCATGCGTTCTCATTGTTCAACTCCCACTTATGAGTGAGAACATGCAGTGTTTGGTTTTCTGTTCCTGTGTTAGTTTGCTGAGAATGATGGTCTCCAGCTTCATCCACGTCCCTGCAAAGGACATGAACTCATTCTTTTTATGGCTGCATAGTATTCCATGGTGTATATGTGCTACGTTTTCTTTATTCAGTCTATCATTGATGGGCATTTGGGTTGGTTCCAAGTTTTTGCTATTGTAAATAGTCCTGCAACAAACATACGTGTGCACGCCAGTTAGAATGGCGATCATTAAAAAGTCTAGAAACAACAGATGCCAGCGAAGATGCAGAGAAATAGGAATGCTTTTACACTGTTGGTGGGCGTGTAAATTAGTTCAACCATTATAGAAGAGAGTGTGGCGATTCCACAAAGACATAGAACCAGAAATACCATTTGACCCAGCAATCCCATTACTGGGTATATACCCAATGGATTATAAATCCTTCTATTATTTAACTGGAAGTCTATTCCCTCAGTTTTTGTTTTTCTTTCCCTTTTTCAGCTTTTGTTAATACCGTTTGAATCTACTTTTTGGAAATGCCTTGCACTGTGGTTTTCTGCAGTAGTCTAAACCTCATCCTATCACCCTGATTGTTCCTCGTTTCTACCTACCATTTCACATTCTTCTGTGATATAACTGGCACTGCTCTCCAAAGCTCAAAATAAAGGGAATTTTCTTTCTCTCTTGGTGGCAGTCAACGTAGTGAGTTAATATTCTGAGATATTAGTGAATGTTTCGTATTTGTTTTCCTTCTTGTATTGCCATTTCCTGTCACTGATTGGCTCCACAGCCCCCTTACAAGGTGCCTAAAATCTGGATTGGCTGCCACTACACCTTGTTACATACAATGGAAACAGGAGGCATTCAAACATTTAAATTAGTTTCTTGACTGTTGCCAAGAATGCTTATCTGCATGGCAGACCTGTTCTTCCTTCTGTTCTTCCTACCACTGTCAATGAGAAGGCTGATCTCAAAGGCTCCACATTCAGAACCTGGAAGTATTCTCTGATACTTTCTCTGTCACTCTGCACATCTCAGTCACTATGTCCTATAGAACTCACTTTAATAAAACATATTGAATTCACACACTGTCTACTTTCCCTGCTCTAGCATAGCAGATCCTTTTCTTAGACTATTGAAAGCTTAATTCTCTCGTATGAATCCCTTCATCTCCAGCCCTTTTTAGAAGTAGCTGCCAAAGAACTATTCCCTAAACACAGTGCAACATATCACTTCAGTAACTTCAGTGTCTCCCCTTTCCTTATGGATAAAAGCCCAAATGTCTAGAAATGACATTTAGTCTTCCATCACCTGACGAATCATCTATCGCAGCGGTCCCCAACCTGTTTGGCACCAGGGGCCAGTTTCATGGAAGACAATTTTTCCACGAATGGGGGTGTGGTGGGGGATGGTTTCAGTATGAAACTGTTCTGCCTCAGATCATCAGGCATTAGATTATCATGAGGAGCGCATAACCTAGACTCCTCGTGTGTGCGGTTCACAACAGGGTTTGCTCTCCTATGATAATCTAATGCCCCTGCTGATCTGCAGTAAGTAGAGCTCAGGCGGTAATGCTCACCAGCCCGCCGTTTGCCTTCTGCTTTGCCACCTGGTTCGTAACAGGCCATGGCCTGGAAGCAGTCCATGGCACGGGGGCTGAGGATCCCTGATCTATCAGGCTTTTTCCCCATAATTTCCTTTTTTTATCCTATAGTCTAGCAAAACCGTATTATGCGATGTGATTTGGAAGTATCCTACCTATTTGCATGTCTTCCCTTTTCTGTAGTGTTCCCCCAGCCTGTTTTCCTGTTACCTACCTGTAGAAATTTCAATTTCATCCACTATCCAAAAGTCCCTTTTGCATACAAATACCAGAAAACTCCAAATATAAAAGTAAACTCACCTCCCCTCGGGATTCCCGAACTCCTTTTATTTTTGCTCTAATAATTACATGTTCTGAGGGGTATTATAGTGTTCTAAATATTCTTTTTTCTTCCACATTTAAACGTAAGCTGTTGAGGATGGAAGCTACATCTGGTACCTATATAATCATCACAGGACCTAACATAATGTCTCACACACGGTTATTGTTGAATAAACATCTGTAGCCTTGTACTGATGTACTATCAAAACTTAAAACCCTCACATCTCCTCTGATTTACTCTACTTTTAGAAAAAGCAATCAATTACTAGGGAACAAGCATAACACAAAGTTTAATGTAACTGTCCTTCCCTTATTATGATTCTTTGCAGCATCTAAGTAATTGTTTGATCTGGCCCACCCTGACCATCAGCTTTTCCACCTTCCCCACTTCCAGTGACGATATTCATGGAGACACTCTAAGCGGAAGATTCTTTGAGAATGGTACTGCTATAAATCATCAACTCTAATGAAGGCTGAAAAGTGAAATGATGCATTATAAAAAGACTTCTATTGCGGTATATGCAACAACGTTTTTAAATTCAAACAATTAGTTTCAAAAGGTACTTAGCCACCAAGAAAAAAATAAAATTTGACCATAAAATGTACTAAATCCAGAAAGACTGAAGAAACATCATTTCTATCAGAATGATGTTGTTTTTCTTAAAAGACACTACAGGGTACGTGTATAAACACAGTTCTATGCACTGATCTGAATAACTACACCATTCAGAAACTTGAATGCTTTGTACCAGCCACGAATTCAGTTTTGAAGTCTCCTATTAAATTTTTAGGAGTGTATTTCTGGAGTTGAGTTGACAGAAAGGTACACATGCAGAATTTTGCTTAGGAGAACAGGTCTAGGCTTTTACCATATGATCAATGTCTATTAAAAAAATCTGTTCAGAGAGCAGAAAAACACTGGAATTTTTTCTATAAATTGCATCTTTTGAAATGTAAATTTACTAATGATGTCAGCACATATTTATTAGGTATTTAGGAGACATTTACAGAGCACCCATTATCAATCTGCACTGGTAATACGAGAGAAGCATGGTGTGTGCTCTCACAGGGCTTAGAGTTTATTGAGAAAATGGATAGTTAAAAAGAATACACAGACACAATCACAGAAAACAGAATTAAAATAGTGATGAAGAACGAGAATATGGTGCTCTGTAAAAGAATAATGATGTTAAACTTTATTTCACTGGTGCTGCCACAGAATGAGTCAACACATACATGATGTGTAAGTTGCTTCCTTAAGGAAGAAAGGTGCAAAGGAGAATCTGAGACAAGGCAAACAGCATGTGCTACAATCTTCTGAAATGCTTTTGTTTTCTGAAGGAACTAGAAGTAGCCACTGAGGTTAGAGTATTGTTTAGATGAAGGTGGCACAAGTCGAAAGGTTAAAATGACCCCCACCTCCTCATACTTTTGCTCCTCCCTCTACAAAGCAGTCATATAAATCAAATCATCTTACTTCTCTGGTTCAGATGCCTAATGAATTCCTCATGCATTTGAAAAATATTTCAAAGTCCTCACCATGGCCTGTGTAGCCTCAAGTGCTCTGGCTTCTGTTTACCTCCTTAGGTTCATGACAGACTCCCTTCAGTCATATTATTCTCTGCCACTTCCTAGAACTCTCCAAACCCTTTCTCATCTCAAGACTTTTGCATTTTTTAATCCTGTGCCAAGAATATTCTTTTTGGTGAGGAGGAGGTTACACAGCTGGCTCATTCCCTTCCTGCAGGTCTCAAACATCAGCTCCTCAGACTCTTTCGCAGCTATTCCTTTATCGCCCATCACGGCCATTTACTTATTTCCTTCCTCTGGTCTGTACTTGTCTGTTGTTTACAAGAGTGGCAGAAAACACCATTTATTTTAAAATACACAATTAAGGTATTATTGACTATAGTCATCTCATTGTATTATATAAAAATAGTTTTCGAATAAAATTTATTTGAATAAGATAATAACATTGGAGAAGCAAGACTTTTCAAAATTTTCTTTTTTAATTAATTTATAATTTTTTTCAAGAGACAGTGTCTTGCTCTGTCACCCAGGCTGAGTGCAGTGTTGTTACCATTGCTCACTGTAACCTCAAACTCCTGGACTTAAGCAATCCTTCTGCTACAGCCTCCTGAGTAGCTAGGACCACTGGCAAACACCACCATGCCTGGCCCATTTAAAAAAAAATTTGTAGGGATGGGGGTCTTGCTATAACACCCAAACTGGTCTCCAACTCCTGGCCACAAGTTATCCTCCAGCCCCAGTCTCCTGAATAGCTGGTATTGCAGTTTTGAGTCACTCCACCCAGTCAGCAGGGCTTTTTAAACAACCAAAAGGAGATTTTTTTATAAGTGTAACGTGAATTCAATATTGATTATAAACAGGTGACTGAAACTATATCATATATGTTTTGATAAGAAGATTCTGGAGGCTGTGCAAAAAAAATGTTTGGAGTTTGAAAGCAATCAAAGCAGGGGACAAGTTAGGAGCCTATTGCAGTGGTCCAGGTCAGAAGACGAAACAGCCATGAGGAGAGTGTTTTCAGTGAAAAGGGATAGAGATAGATCTCATTGATCCAGATGATCACAGTGTAGAGGGGAAGAAAGAGGTACCAAGAGTTGCTCTAATTCCTGGTTAGGTGAATGGGTAGCTGCTGGTGTATGCAATTAATTAGGCAGTGGAAGGATCAGGCTAGGGGGAGAAAATTGATAAATTTTCAGAATATTGACTTTATGTCTGTGAGTCCATTATTTGAGAAGTTTGGCTGTGAAGAGTGTTAGAGAAGTAGGGAAGTAGTTGGCAGAGATGTGGGGCCAGCAGGGGTAATATTGACAAGCAATATCACCTAAATTTTCCAGAGGAGAAAAAAATCACCTGGCATTTTTATAAAACATCCAAACTCCATTCTCTTTTCCTGGAGATTCTTGGGATAGACCTGGATATTTGTATGTGTAATAGGTTCCCCTGGTGATAAGAATAAGATAATGAGAAAGAATATAATAGAACATCTGTTTGTGGCAATGATCCTACAGAAAAAAAGAGCCTGGATATGCAGAAGAGAGAGAGGGAGACAGGGAGAGAGGAAGAGTAGAGGATTAGCCTCTGACAAATAGAGGGACACTGCCTTTTATAATTAGAGGAAAGAAGGACGATATGGGTAGGTGCAGGTGCCACTACATTTCTGTTTTGCTGTGGGAAGTTCCCATCTAATGGCTTATTTTCTCAATAAAGCATTTGGCAAGGACATCACTAAAAATTAAAGAAGGAGGTCATTTTAATCAGTTATGAAAAGGATGAAATAATCATTGTCAAAAGTAGGAAAGCAAATTTTCTAAAGAGAAAAAAACTTCTTGACATAGTTGCATATAGTAATGTGAGGTTGTTAAAAATAAATGTATTATGACAAAATCTAACCCATCGTGCATTTTAATGGTAATAAGTAAAAATATAAATATAATTGCCCAAATGTTTATATTCTGTACATTGAGATGGTTGTCTTTTCATAGAAAATATTGATTTTTTTCTAAAATTATGTTTTATGACAAAATACATCAAATTAGTTCATGTATTAAAGAAAAATATATAAGAAAAAGTATTTGATATATTTCAATAAGAGTGGAAAAGTGAATTATGAAAGTATGTTAAAATTTGGATGCTAGGACATAGCCTCACATATTATGATCTGATAGTAAGACTACTTTTCTCTGTGAAACTGGTATTAGATACCCCTACATTACATTACATTACATGAGTTAGCTTTGAAAATGGTTTGAATGTTTTTATGATAGGTAAAGTCTTTTTTTTTCTGTGATTACTATCTATGCTGTAAAGATCAAAATAAATGCCTTCAGGGTACAGAATGAGGACCATATGGCCCAGGAAAGGACAGGTTTGTTATCCTGTTAGTTGTTAAACTGTCAGGTGAATTTCTAAGAGTCTATACAGTCTCTGTGAAGTTTGGGATAGATATTTATCCTTATGGAATAAGTTATGGGTAGTTTTATTTAAGGACTTATTACTAAATTCAATCATAGTGATTCCTACTAAGTGTTATTATCAATAAATAATCTATGATTCTTATATACTGATATTAAGATCTTGTTTATGATTCTCCTACTTAACTTATTAAACTATTATGTAAAAAACAGGTAATGTGCATTTAATATAATCAACACAAAATGGATAAACTGAAGACCTAATACTGTAAAGCTTCTAGCAGGAAATACAGGAAGAAAGCTCTATGACACTGGTCTTGGTAACAATTTTGTAGAGATGACACCAAAATCATAGGAACAAAAGCCAAATTAAACAGGAGGGATTATATCAAATTAAAAATTTTCTGCACAGTAAAGAAAACAAGAAAATGAAAGGCAATCCACAGAAGAAGAGAAAATATTTACAGTCAATATATCTCATAGGTGGCTAATATCCAAAATATATAAGGAACTCATAGAATTTGATAGCAAAAATAATAATACCCCTATTAAAAATGGGCAAAGGACCTGAATAGACATTTTTTTCTGAGGAAGACAAATGGCCAACAGGTTTATGTAAAGGTACTCAACATCGCTAGTCATTAGAGAAATGAAAATCAAAACCACAATGAGCTAGAACCTCACACTTGTTAGGATGGCTATTATCAAAAAGTCAAAAGATAACAACTGTTAGTGAAGATGTGGAGAAAGGGAACATTGGCATGTAAGGGAATGTAAATTGGAACAGCCATATGGAAAAATGTATGGAGGTTCCACAAAAAACTAAAAATAGAATCACCATATGATCCAGCAATCCCACTCTGGGTATATAGCCAAAGGAAATGAAGTCAGTATTTCAAAGAGATATCTATATTCCCATGTTCATTGCAGCATTATTCACAATAGCCAAGATATGAAATCAACATAGGTATCCACTGACAGAAGAATGGATAAAAAACGTTTATATGTTAAAATTTTGCTATTTTATTCCCTGTGGATTTCAGGGGCATTGATTTTAGACATCTTAAAATATTGTTTTAAATATGATTGATTTTTTTCACAAAAATATGATACTAAGGCATGGTTAATCAAACTTGTAATGTACCTACATATTCACTCACCAACACACACACACACAAACACACACACACACACACACACACACGCCCTGCTTGATCTTCAAACAGATAACTTAAGACAAAATGCAAGGAATTTCCCATGCATTGAACGCCAGCTTTAGTCACTAAGCTTTGTAGCAATGGAAACAACAGGGCGGGATACTATTATTGAGACCCAAAACTAACACAGTTGAGAAGCGATATTGAGAAGCAACTGGTTATGCAAAGAAGGCAGAATGACCCACAAGTCATCGTTACTGATAAAACTCCATTGTACCAATCAAGATACTATTGAACTCACAAGTCCAAGCCATTGAGTAGGCACATAGCTAGAGGTCCCAAATAGGTCTGAAATGCTTCTCTCTATAGTTGTCAAGAGGAATGTTTCAAAAGTATAAAACATGTACTAACTCATGTGATAAATCAGAGAGAAAAATTAAAAGCCTGTAAGAGAATGCATTATCAAAATGTAAAAGAACCTTTTTTTCTTATGCTTACAATGAGAATCAAAATTATTAAACAAGATATCTTTGCCTTTAATTACTCTGAGAGGCACCAAATATATTAATATTTATTTTCTTCTTATATGGCCCCTGACAAAATTCATCTCTTCTTCCTTCTTTTTTCCACTGTACTTTGTAGATACACTTTAATTTACATTGTTCTAACCACTGAGAGAACTCAGTGATTCTTAACCTAAAAGAATATGCATAAAATTAAATAGACTTTGTGCATCCAGGATTGCATTACAGCTGCAGAGTATTAACATTTGTGTTGTTGTCCAGGGACACTGGCTTTATCTTACTCTTAGTTTTATCTTCAATGGTGTCTAGCAAAGTAATTGATACGCAATATAGACTAGACAAATATTTGTTTAATTAACTGGGGAAAATTTGCATTTTGCTAGCCAGTGCAATATTTTGGATAATTTCTTTTTCTTTATTTTGAATGAAAGATGAATCAGGACTTCTTTATTCATGAAGGGTGAAAAGAAGTATGTGTTCAGTATATTTATTTATTTAGAGAGAGAGTCTCGCTCTGTTGACCAGGCTGGAGTGCAGTGGCATGATATCAGCTCGTTGCAACCTCTGCCTCCCAGGTTCACAGATTCTCCTGCCTCAGCCTCCCGAGTAGCTAGGATTACAGGTGCCTGCCACCACACCAGGCTAATTTTTGTATTTTTAGTAGAAACGGCATTTCACTATGTTGGCCAGGCTGGTCTCGAACTCCTGACCTCAAGTGATCCACCAAAGTGCTTGGATTACAGGCACGAGCCACCGCACCCCTCCAGTATTCCTATTTCCCAAAGACTTAAACAAGCCTGAATGTAGAGTCAAGATAGATGTTAAAAAATATCTCAGAATTTCATCATTACTATTAAGGAGGACGAGAATTAGTTCTAAAGATTAAAAAAGAAAGGGGAAATACATCTCTCTAATATGGTGGAATACAAGCTTCAAATAATGCATTTTGGGGGTGGGCTAAAAAAATTAACATCTTGGAGATAGCAAACACAAATTTCAGAGTGAATGCCAGATAACAAATTGAATGTGTCACCTTGCGGCTGCACTGGTGATGATCTTCAGGCTGCCGGGATTCCGGATAAGCTTGTCCAGAATACTAACAATCTGCTCAAACTTGGGTCTGTTGTTCCTGTCTTTCTGCCAGCAGTCCAGCATCAGCTGATACAAGGCAGCTGGGCAGTCCATGGGGGGTGGCAGTCGATAGCCCTCATCTACAGCTTTAATTACCTGTGTGAGAAGCAAAGTTTTCAGGAACCAGGAAGTTTTCAGGAAGTGTCACTTAGTTTACGTTTTCATGGGCGGGGCTCACAAATATGCTTATTTTAAAGGTAAGTGGGAAAACTTCTCATTTTTAGTTGCCTAAAAGGATAACAACTGATCAAATAAATAAGACGTTATGTATGCCTAAAATATTATATAAAGGAAGATTGAAATAACATAAATTTAGGAAAGAGTATGTAAAGATCCTTTTTGGGTTAAAATAAAAAGAAATGTTAAATGATAGAGCAAATTTGGTGTTATAAAGAAATTATTATTTGGTTATATAGTTCTCTATGGAAAACATATATGAATGAATATGGACAAAATTACTATACAGGTTTTAGTTATACTGCAGTTCAAATGGTGCCTTCCAAATTATAGTAATTTTTTTTGTAAAATCCTAAGTGCTGTAAAATTAAGTAACTATTAGTTCATTAGTACTTTTCAATGGTGTAAAGCAGTGACTTTCAAACTTCAATGTGCATTAGAATCTAGAGGTTATCTTATTGGTCACTTTTTTCATTACGTTTTCACTACAAATGTTTCTTTTGTCTTATTTCTAAACCCTTGCTTGAGGGAAATATGTAAATCTGTAAGAACAATTCAATTAATATAATATCCTTGCAAGACTTGGAAACAGTTTCATTGCTGCTAAATATTTTATTTCAGTGTTATAAACCAGGAGCCACCCAGTTACATTATGTTCCACTTCCTTGCACAGCTTGATCTTTTCATCTGAACTCATAACTCATAGACCACAAATACTTACATCCTGATTGGACATCTCCCAGTATGGTCTCTCTCCATAAGACATCACCTCCCAGAGAACAATCCCATAACTCCATACATCGCTGGCTGACGTGAACTTGCGGTAGGCTATAGCTTCTGGTGATGTCCACCTGATTGGGATCTTCCCTCCCTTTGAATATAAAATCATGTCTACATAAATCAGCAATGCATAGAACATATAATATACATAACATAATCTGAAACCGGACAGAATTTCTCATAGTATTTCTGTTCTGAAATGGAATATGCATTTCTGTGAAACATTTTGATGTTATTCTATTTCAATACCAAGCAGAAGTAGCATACCATTTACAGCAAATTTTACTTCCAAATAATTTGGAAGGATTTTGAAATTATATATAAAAAAGAAAATTGCTTAAATATTGACATTTTATATCAACTATGGCAGGTTAATTAATCATCTGCAACAAAACAACCTGAAGCAGATGTGACATGACATGTATTAGAATTAAAAGAGGTATCACAAATCAACTTTTATTGATTTAACCTAGATTTATGCTTGACCAAGCAATCGAAGTTCAGAATGTGAATAAGTCAGTATTTGTAAAGAACTTAGACCACTCCCTGGCACATAAGTACTTACAGGTGTTTGTTACCTAAATAAACTCAAAATAAAATTATATTTTAAAAAACTCTCTTCAACACAATAATCATCTTGATTAATTTACTGTGTGCTTCATCATTAGTCATTGAAGTGTCTTCTGGATAGTAGGCAAGCACCATATAAATTAGATAGACATAATAATTACATTCCCAGAACTTATAATTTAGAGGAAAATAATATTGCTTTTATAAGTTATGGGAGATATAAAAGTGTAATGTCTATGGAATTTGCTCTTAGTTCAATAAATACATTTAATAAAGATGTACTGATTGTCAACCATATAGGAAGTATTATGCTAGTTAATTTGGGTGAAACTGATAAATAACATACTGGCTCTTTTGTTTCGTAAGTGTCAGGCAAACAGGAGTAATAATGAGTTACTCTGAAAAACTAGATACAGAACGAAATAGGTATCTAGCACATTGCTTTTCAAACTTTATAATGCATATAAATCATATACAGCTTACTCCCAGTAAAATGAAAATTTTGATTCAGGAGGTTGAGTGTGTAGCCAGTGTCTGCATTTCCAACAATCTCCATGTGATGCTGGTCCATGGAACTTACCCTGAGTAGAAAGACAGTAGTGAAAGCCACCGTAATGTGGAACGTGGAGCCAAGATTCTCACTAGAGAGACTGAGGAGGGCACTTATGAATTAAGTGACCTCAATTTCAAGTGAAGTCACTTGAAAGATAAGTACAATATTTGATATAAGAAAAAAGGGATGGATATTTCAAAGAAAGAACTCACATCCTCAAAATCTTAAGCCGTGTTCGTCAAAATGTGACCGATTTCTATCGGACCTCATAGCATGCCACTGGATTTGAAGTGATGCTCAAGGGGGCAATATAGTGCTTTACACAAATGGATTAGCAATTTAGGGGACAAGTTTCTAAGCCTTGTTGTGCAGGACTGTCCTCATCTGTTATTGAGAATGTAATAGTCCTGGTTCAGAGTATTTATGTGGGACTAAACGACAAATTTCAGTAAAATATTTAGTCTTCTTCCTAGGACATAGTAAGGACTCAATAAATGTTAGCTCAATACTCTCATATTCTGAGCAAATGGCATAAATCAAAGCACAGAGGAGAAAACTGTATGTTCTAGAAGAACAGTTTCCTGTGTGAAGAAATATAATGGAAGAGGAAGCTAAAATGTCAAATTTTTATTTAATCACAGATGCACTTGGGAAACTTTATCCTGGCTAGGAGAGTGATAAGATTGGAACTAACTCAGTAAAACTGAGCACTTCTCCTTGGTGTTTTGGCACAAATGAGCTGTTCAGGGAGAGTACTGCCAGAAGCTCTTTGAAAAGGTAGAGCTTACACAGTCATGAAGAATGCAAGAAACAGTGCAGAGAATTGAGGAAATGGAAAAACACCATCAGCAGGAAGAATAAGCCTGCAAAGACACACAGTGAGCGCAACCTTCCTAAGAAGCTACCAGGTGAAGAATAGTTGACAGTTTCTACTGATGAAGTAAAACAAATGAAATTGGAGAGACCGGAGCCAGAGAAAAGATAGCCTCGGAAGTTAGGGAGATAAACTACAGTGTGCAACGTGCACTAAAACTCCCAAAGCACTCATCTACATATGCCTAGATCAAGTTTATGTTTTTATAATTCAAAATTTCAAATACTACCCCTTGACATCGACAAAAGTGGACTTAGACATGTGGCATTGAACAGAATCTACTCAGGATGCCAAATGGAATCATTGGGCCTACTTTCTCCTTCTTAAGAACTCAGAGAATTAACAAAAGTCAAACAGAGCTGTATTCATAGGACAAGGGAGGTACAGTATCTTAAAAATCTCAATTAAATATCTTAGGTCTGTTATAGACACTTGTCATTTTTCTAACTGCCTTTGCTACTTCTCTTTTTCCAGAACCAAATTACTGAAAGCGTATAAGTATACTTTCAGTATTACTGAAGGTATATAAGTATACTTATACTGAAAGGATCATGTCAGTATACTTTCAGTAATACTGAAATTGTGAAGTGTACTTAAATGGCACTAAAAAAAAGAAAAAAGAAAAAAAAAAGCCCTTTCTATGCTGAAAACTTTGTACCTATTTAGAAAATATTAGGCCCAGATATTTGTTGCCTTACCATGGTCTCTAGTTGAAATTAAAATAGAGTCATAAGAAAAAAACAATAGGTTGATGACAGCCATGAAAGAGAAGTGTATTTATTTGGTTAATTCAATCAGGGTTAAAAAGAAACACAGAAGAGTTGTTTCATTTTAAGTGTTTCTTCACCATTTTCCAGAGAGAAGAGCATTGAGATTAATAGAATTTCTTAAAATAATGATATACTGAAAGGTGATCATTTTTAGGAAGAACAGAGCCATATTTCTGCTTAAGCTTGGAAGGAGAATCCTCTTTTGCTCTGTTGTAAATACAGACATAATAATGTTGGAGAGGTATCTGCTGTGGTCGCATGATCATATCTTCAAGGAAAGCTTCACTCACCTGAATCTCTTAACTTGCCTGGGACTTATACAGTATGTTCTCTAATGAAATACATGGTTACAGATTCAAGCAAATTATTTCCAGAATATTTCCCAATTACATGTGGTCTATTTGTGTAACCTGTGTAAATCTTATTAAAATGCTTAAAATTTAAACAAATGGGATGCATGTTTGGAAAAATGTATAGTAATTTATTTTAATAAGAAAAACTTAAATTTTCAATTCTGCTCTTCTGGTTGTGTTTTGTAATTGTTGTAGCCTGCACACACACACACACATATTATTGTTAGAATGACAACTTTAAACCTTTCAATGTAACATACTTGCTGATCAGGTGACCTTTATACTATCTTTACCTTCGTACTAATTTTTAACAAAATATTCTGGCTCTTAGCTCACTGTGGTACCTTGGAAAAGTATCTTGGCCACATTGTGCAGTAGATACCTGTGAAATGGCAAAGGCCTCTTGCTACAAGTTTTGCTAGCTTTGGAAATGTAGGTATGGTCTTTTCACTTGTGTCATTCAGGTTTTTGATTTACACTTTTCCTTTTTGTCTCTTAACTATATCAAGGGTTCAGTTGCTGCCCTTGTGGGAAAGCATAAGGAAGTGGGGCAATCTCATTTATTTTCATTTTATTTTGGACATGTTATTACAAACACTCAAAAATTAAGTGGCATTCAATCAGTTCAACAATGAAACCAGGGTGCAGTGCTTTAAATGTTTCCGTAATTTATCCAGATACTACTATTGATCAACTTTTGGTGTACCAGTTCTTTTCCTCGCTGGCCAGATTCTGTCCCAGGTCACAGTTAATTGAGCTTATATACTTAGAAGTAAACATATTTATTTTTATTTTTAATGAAAAACTCTTAATTTATATTTTTATATATGATATCCAAACAACTCAGTCTAAAAGAAGAGCTGGGGCTAATTTAAACTCTTTCTTTAGAAGAAGATGTGAATAAGTGATTTGCTTTGCCCAATTTTAGTGTTGAAGTCCATAGACAGTTAGGTCTGGAATGCGGTGGTGCAGTGCGTTCTCGGCTCACTGCAACCTCCCCCTCTCAGGCTCAAGCAATTCTTGTGCCTCAGCCTCCTTAGTAGCTGGGATTAGAGGTGTGCGCCACCAAGCCTGGCTAATATTTGGATTTTTGATAGAGACAAGGTTTTGCCATGTTGGTCAGGCTAGTCTCTAACTCTTGGCCTCAAGTCATTTTCCCACCTCCACCTACCAAAGTGCTGGTGTTACACAGGTGTGAGCCATCGCACCTGGCCAAGAGTTAGCTGTTTAGCCCAGAATGTATTCAATATTCATGAAACATTTAGCCTTTTCATTAGAGAATTTCCATTATCTGCTAATAGGTAGCTTATTAGACGGATTAGTTTAGCTCCAATAATGAAATAATCACAGATTCAAGACTCTTATCTCTTTTCTATCTAACCATATTGTAAATGATGCCATCCATCATTGAGGGAAACAGGAAGAGAATAAAGATGATTGAGAATTATATATTATTATTTAGAAAATTTTGTCATTTGTCATGAATTTATAATATATATAAAGCCATTTAAAAAGTGTCTGCTCCTTAATAGAGCATTCAATAAATGTTATGCCTGTTCCTTCCTTTCAATTCCCTTTAATTGTTACATTTACTGTCAATATAACAAATTTATTAAAAGATGCTACAAGGGAAAGCTCACTGTTAACTACAAAGTACAATTCAAATTTAGCAATTAATACTAAATCAGATAAAAAGAAATTTTTAAAAATTATCTTATTCTATGGCAAGCAAATAATATCAAATTGCTCTGGCTTTAAAAATAAAAGAATAATAAACCAACATTGTACACATTTAATTTGAAGTAAAAAAAAAAATCAAACTACAGGTGAAATTTCAAACGAGCAAAATTATTATGGAATTTAAGAAAAGATAGATACATACATTCTCATAAACTCTTTAAATTCTTCATTGTAGTTTCAAACTCTTTATGTTCTACACTAGTAAAAGTAGTAGCAGTAGTGCCTGTCATATCAATTGCAACAAATAAAAATAGTAAACCCGAACCATTATTTCAAATCATAAGCTTATGAAAAACTGAATAGATTATAAAGCTGAAGATAAGGAGTATTAACTCACATGAAACTATGTTCTCCATAAACAATACACATTCACTACAGAGAGCAGTTTTCTTGCTCTCTGTAGTATTATCTTGGTATTATCTTGGCAAATGTGCAGTGCAGGCATTCAACAGATGCTCACTGATCTTAATTGAATTCCCCCTGTGAGCATGCTATCTTCCCAAATACATGGTCTTTCTTTTTGGGAGGCTTTTTTTCCTTTTTTCTGTAACTGGGTAAAGTTCTTATCTGAACATCTTGGTCAAATGTAAACTCTTTGGGTGAACATTTAGGAGTCTTCCAGCAAGAGTTGGTCATTCCATCCTCTGTGATCTTTCTACTGCTTTATTATCCTGCCTAATCTGGGATGTCCAGAGGAATAACCACCTGGCCCCCTTCACCACTGTATTCCCCCAGTTTAAAGTATGTCTTATTTTCTACCTCTGCTGTTTACAAAACTTTGTTGCTTGCAAAAAAGCACGTTGTTCTGTCAAGTGAGAATAATGATTTATTTTGTGGACCTGGGAAAGTAGATTTTTCTAAAGATTTCTGATAATTTTGTGCATTTTAAAGGTGCAGTTCATTTTCAGTTGATAATGAGTTAAATCTAGTTTTTCATAATATATGTGAATGTGAATGAGCCAATATAAACATAATAGTTTATTTTCTTAAATCATACTGCTTTCTAATGTCCTCTTTTTTCTTATGCTACTATTTAATAGTGTTGTTACATTAATACATTTTAAGAACTCCACAACGATAGTTAGTATAAGATTCACTGAGCATCAACTTTTTTAGAGTATCTGTAGAATTACAAAAATATGTCACAGGATGTTGTATGGATTATGTGTTTTAGAGTTCGTAGAATGCTATAAAGATTTTCATTTGACTCCATAAACAATACACATTCTACATCAACTGCTTCAATATTAATGTTGTAGCTACTTCACCAACCTAAAAATACAATTAATTAAAAAATAATTTTAGTCTACACACATGGACGTTACCCCTTTGTAGAATGAGGCTAAGTAAAATGTTAAAACATTAAAAAAATTACACAAGGGTAAGACTTATATACTGACTAAAATATCTGATATATTTATCTTCTAGAGATATACATCTATGTATGATTTTACTCCATGATGTCTTAATAAAATGAAAATAGAACATCACAACTAAAGTGGCTATGTTTGAAATTTAGAGCCTGGGGTGGAGGGTGGTAAGTAATTTAAGTGTTTAATTGAAACCAAATGAAAATGAAATTTTAACAGGCACACAAGACTTATGATTTGTTGCATTATGTTTGTGATAGCTTGAAGTTTCACATTCTAGGAGGCCTGATAACAGATGGCTAGTCTGTTGCACATTTTTTCACAAATGGTGTAGTCTATATTGTCCCATGCATCTTGCAGTCCAATATGGACAGGAAAAAATAGAAAGTACCTGAGAGAAACATTTGATCCCCACTCCCATTCTTTGCACATGATGGGAACCTTGTAGGCAAGGTTTCTCTAGAAGGGCACTGTTGACCTTTCACCCGAGATCATTCTTTGCTGTGACGGCTGTCCTGTGCGTTGTAGGATATCTAGCAGCACTTCTGCCGCTGTCATCTAGATTACATTAGCATCTCCCCAGTTGTGACAGCCAAAAATGCCTCTAGACAATACCAAGTATCTTCTGGGGAACAAAATCATCCCCATTTGCGAACTACTGCTTTAAATGTTGTACAATCATCAAGGGAAAGTAATCCACATGAGGTCTACAAATTATGTGGGATTTTATATTGACTAAGTGAAATCAACTTTCTAGGGATATTTTATACCCCTGTCACAGGCTATACCTTTACTAATAGAAAAACAGGGGTCAAGTTCACCAGAGCCAATCTCCTAATACTTGGGTTTTGATGATGTAATAATATCCCTTCTGGAATTTTTTTATGTTTTATTTTATTTTCTCCTTTCTTCTTTTTTCCTATCTTCCTTCCTTTTCTTTTTCTTTTTTAGGATAACTTCCTGTTAATTTAAGTTTGCTAGTAAAACTTAAATTAACTTTATAAATTAAGCATCAATTTTTTTATTAAATGGAGGTATAAGTAACCAAGCATTTTAGTAAGATACAAGTGCTTGCTCCAACAGCAAACACTGTCTACAGCTACAAAAACGTAAACATTATTGGCATAGAGAGACACGAATAAGAGTCCTTGAGGGCCCAATTTGGTTCTGAAATATGGTTAAAAGAAGAAGCTGGGGCAATAAATTTTAACTGAGTCACACTTTACAATAAGACTTGCTGCATTTAAGCTGAGGATCTGTAGTTCTGAGACTATCAAACTAAAATAAATTGAATATATAGGAGTCTAAGTTTCCTACAAGTAATTCATCACAGAGCGTATGCATATTTCTGTTCTTGATTGTGACCACAAAAATTCCTCTTCCCTTCTCACCTCCCACCTTAACAAATTCAAGCTCATATTGCATGAGTGTTATTTTTTTCTGGTTTAGAAATTGCTTTCCTAGCTTATATATGTGAAGGACATTTTTAAAATGTAGATGCTTTAGAGGGATGTGCCACACTAGGCATTTAGAATATTATAAAAGCTCAGCTAGTCACTATAACAATTATTTATGAAGATGTGTTTTTTAACCATATTTAAACATTTAAAATGAAGCATTTACTTTTACTGGTCTCTATATCCTAATGTAAGCTCCCAAGATATATTTATGTATTTCAGAAAAGCTTCCAGTTGCTTGGAGCAAGCCCAGAATCATAGCATATGGAGTGTATCTAAAACCTCAATTTCAGAAAGACTTCCAATTCAAACTTAACAGAATCAGAAGCTAATGTTTGCTCCTTACATCTCCAGTGCCAAACCTTCAGCCAGTTCCTCCAAGTGCTGACTTCTCATCTATGTATAGCTAAATAACTGGAGGTACAGGGTAAGTTTAGTCATTTGCTCCATTTGGATTCTGAAGTTTAATAAGAATCAGGAGTCTTGGTTTCTGGCCTCAGTTTTGACCTTCCTGTTTAATTTTAGCCAGGTGTCTTAACCTCTCTGCACAGCTGTCTTGTCATTCAAAAACAGGGTCATGGACTATATAAAATTTGACTTTACATTCAGTTTTATCTAACAGCTTAACAGCTTTGCTGACTTATGACCATAGCTCTTTGAACTTTCTATCTTAAACCTACATGAGTATCAAGGATGCTGACATTTTCAATGTTAATTATTTTGGACTCTTAAAGAAAGACTAACTTTGGAATAAATTGCATATCCACATGGGTGTCACCTCGATTTACGTCTATAGAGTTTTACAGAAAAGGTAAAGGAGATGAATAAAGTGCTACAGGTAAAGATGCTAGTGATTCTCTGGAAAAAGGCACTACATAACTGCTAAACTCCACTCCAGGATTAGTTGAGAGTCTAAAACCTTGTCCACTTTGCCTAGATACAGCAGTTAGATGAGGAATCACACGGTAACCCTGTTCTTGAAAGATTCTGCAATTCAGTTCCCTAAGCTCGATGAATTTAGACAGTTCAATGAGACATGTGGCTAAAAGCCTGAATTTTTCAGGAGCTTAACTGAAGTCAGCTCATGCGGTATGGGTTACGGGGCTTCAAGTTCTGATTTCTAAAGAGAAGGAGTGTAATTGCTGAAATTTCTGGGTATTGAGGCATAATATCACATAGCTGCCAAATGTTTCTGTAATTATATGTACAAATCTCTGCCTGCCAATTTAGGAAAGGTTTGCTGGTTATAATTCACATTTCCTGTTTTTGAGCTTTGTCAGGTCATATTTAGAGTGACAAAGGACTTTGGAGAGTTTATCTGAGTAAACCCAAGTAATTGAGTATTTAACCTGGAGGGAAATATTAGCTTCTCAGGTTAAAAGTGGAACTATAGAGATAAATTATTTGGCTAAAAGATTTAGCATCTATGTATTGTCAAGGACTAAAATTCATTCACTGCAGACAACAAGGTGAAGGGTGATCCAAGAAGGCTCCCAAAGGAAGCATCTAGTCTTATCCCCAGCAGTTCAAATCTCAGCGCCACTGAGAGAATAGTTTCAGCAAATGTTGATTGCCACAAGAGATCAGAGATAAATGATCCTTTAGGTAGCAAAACCTCATTCTTCGAACTTTTGAGATCTTTCAACATCATGTGAAATGATTAAGCATTACTTGAAATACAGGAAAATCTCCATATTCCAAATTATTATAATGGCTAACCAGGAAATAAAAAACAAACTCATAATGCTTATGTTACTTTCGGACTCTCATGAAACAGTGTAAAAACTAAGTAATCTGATGTATGATATCTATCTTCTACAAAAATAATGCAAACATCGGGGAGTAAGTCTATATACATACATACATATATATATGTGTGTGTGTGTGTGTGTGTGTGTGTGTGTGCCTTAATATGAGTCTGGCTTTTTTAAAAGTTCAATGAGGTTTTAAATGTCAAATTTTGTATTTTTTATATATATTCAATCTCCAGTTTTTAAAATCTCTAATTTTTAAAAGTTATAGTGATTCATTTCAAAGTCTGAAATTGTAGCACTCTGAACACAATTTTTTGAAGAAGCGATGGTAAATTAGTAGAAACGTAGCAGGGGATACTGACAATTTGCAATTGAAATGATAGAAATAATACTAAATTCATTCTAATAATTGTTTTGAGATAAAATCTCACTCTGTTGCCCCAGCCTAAAGTGCAATGGCATAATCAAGGCTCACTGCAGCCCTGACCTCCTGGGCTCAAGCGACCCTCCCACGTCAGCCTCCTGAGTAGCTGGGACTAAAGGCATGCATCACCAATAGAAAAAGAGGACTAGTTACTATTAGCTTGACATTTAGTCTGAGCTAAATAATTAATCTAATGACTTACATTGTCTTCCTGCAAGGTGGGCCTCTTGGAATCAGTGCAATTATTAAAATTATTCTATTCAATTGAAAATTAGTGAAAGCAAAATTAATGTTTCTTTAGCCTCAGTATTTGCTCCTTCATTCAAACCCATTTTCTGCTCTAGTGTCATTTTACCAATTTCTCTGACGATCCTATATAAAATTGCATTCTCTACAGACTGCCTGCATTCCTCATTTTACTTTTCTGCCTTTACTTGTGTGCTCCTGTGTTCCACTTCACAATTATAGTTGTAATTTTTCACCACATAAACCTGGATAGTTGTTTTTTACATGTTTAAATGTTCATGCTACTCATCTCTCTGAAATAGATGGGTAGAAAGTACTAGACTTTTCATTAAGTGTCGATTCAACATTAATTATTAAAATCACTGAACCTTTGAGAGTTTTCTAGTTATTGAATAAGTGGCTGTATTTTCTGATGCTACATGCAGGCATATTCATATTGATCATAAGGGGAGGCAATAAATTCGTAGTTGACTTTTTTTGGTTCACAGTTTAAAATACTGTTACTATATGAAGGACACAAATTAGATATTTTGTTATTACCTTTTTCATTTAGGTATAAATGACATGCGACATATATTACTTATCAAATTAATATGTGTCTTTTGTATTATACCAATTTTGATAAGCATGGTTTTTTTGGTTCTTGAAAATGTTACAGAACAAAGGCTCCTGTTTTCTGTTATTTATGTTCTTAGATTGGAGTTACCTGAAAGGAAATATTTAACCTCTTAGCTTTTAACCACTTGCTTAGCCACTTTTCTTTTTTTGCCTTATCCTTAAAATGAAATCAAACAGGCCAGGCACGGTGGCTCACACCTGTAATCCCAGCACTTTGGGAGGCCGAGGCTGGCGGATCACGAGGTCAGGAGATCGAGACCATCCTGGCTAACATGGTGAAACCCCGTCTCTACTAAAAATACAAAAAAAAATTAGCCGGGTGTAGTGATGGGCCCCTGTGGTCCCAGCTACTCCGGAGGCTGAGGCAGGAGAATGGCGTGAACCCGGGAGGCAGAGCTTGCAGTGAGCCGAGATCCCACCACTGCACTCCAGCCTGGGCGACAGAGTGAGACTCCATCTCAAAAAAAACAAAACAAAACAAAACAAAAAAACAAAAATGAAATCAAACAAAACAAAGTTGTATAGAATATATCTGGCATCAATATGGCAGAGTCACAGATCTAAAAAGCCAAATAAATTATTATGTAAAATAAAATGTTGTAACAAAATCTAGTTAGTACTTACTAAGTAGGCAACTTCAGAATAGAAATGAAAAGAAAAAAATCGAATAATGGAGAATATAGCCAAGGACAATTCAATTTGTTTTCTCAAACTTTCCAACTCAGTTTATGTGGTAATTATGCTCCCAAAATGAACTTAAGGACATAGGAAGAATTGAAGTGATGGCTTACCCAGCATCTAAATAAGATAAAAGTCTGTGCTTTCAGTAACTTGATCCTGTATAAAACAGAAAATTAAACACTACCATTTTGGAATTTTGGATTCCATGTATTTCAACATATGAATATAGAAATATTCATCTATATAGATGCATGAATGCATATATACAAAAATACTAACCAGTTAAAGATAAAATTTCATAGAAGCAAAAATTGAAAAATCATTCAGTGGCAAACTGTTCTACAATAGTGTCATGATTCTGTTAGAATGAAGTAAATTAGTAGACCAGGGCAAAAATATAACAAACATGTTATAATTATACTTTCAAAGTCACATGATGAGAAACCAGAGGAAAGGAATTAATTTTTCTGTTTTTTTTTTCAGACACAAAACTTCTTTGATGATTTAAATTTGTGGAGCTAAATGGTCTAATCATATCCATCCCAAACGAAATCCAGGGACTTTCAAGATGATTTGCAAACTTTGGTATGCAGCTGCAGTTCTGCTTTCAAAGCTACTTCTTTAAAATATATTATATCACATAAAACTATGCCATAATTTAGATTTATATCAGTGAATAACGGCAAAAATATTCATTTAGTTATTAAGGGACTTTTTTCCTAGTAAAGTATCTATAACAGTGGCTTTCAATCTGTCATCCGAGCATGTATGTGGGTCCCCAAGAGCATTTTAGGGGTCCACAAGATAGAAACTATTTTCATAATAATACTGAAACTTCATAGCCTTATTCATTCTGAACATCCCATGAGAGTACAGTGGAGTTTTACAGGATGCATAATAACATTGTATAATGGAAAATATCAACATTTGCAATTTCTGCGTAACACAGCAGTAAGAAATGAGAAGAAATAACAACAAGTGAGTATTGGGGAAAAAAATCTGATTCCTTACACAATATCCTTATGTAAAAGAGAAAATAAACATAAAAATGTATAGTACTATCTTAGCTGACCCTTTCATATCCGGCATGCTGTCGAGAACATAAGGAAGGAAAGCTTGTGATACACCTAAGACAGTATAGAACACAGTGTGAGAAAATATCTTTGACTGTCTGATAAATTAAGTTTTGAGCTTAGGTGTTTCCTCAACTCCTCAAATACTCTTCAAAGTTTAAGAAGTTTTAAATACATAATTAGATTATATAATTTCTATACATTCCTCTATTCTGCCTGTCACTCACAGAGATGTTTTAAAACAAGAGCGACAGACATTCTATGTTCAGTATTCTTTTCCACTGACATTGATTCAAATGTCCTTCATGACTCTTCAGTGCAACTACGCTCTACCTACAGGCAGTAACTTTCAGAGGAGCAACCAGGAAAGGGTCATTGCATTGAGGCACCAAATGTTAATCTCCAAATTGTAGAAACTTCAGACACTAGATGAACTGCGTTAAACTTTATTAATGTGACTGACTTTTTAATGCAGATTAACCAGGATCTCTTATCCAAAAGGAATGCCTCAGCAAATTGTTTTGAATGATGAACTTGTTTTTCTGAAATAACAATAATCAGAGCACACTAAATCAAATAAACAAGACAGATGTCTAAGCTGGGTATATTGCTTTGGGTTGACAAACAGACAATATATACACAAAAATGTAATAGTATTTTTTCTTTTTCTTTTCTTCTTCCTTTTAAATTTATTATTATTTATTTATTTTTTGAAAAAGGGTCCTGCTCCATCCCCAGGCTTTAGCTCACTGCAGCTTCAACCTCCTGGACTCAAGTGATCTTTCCACCTCAGCCTCCTGAGTAGTTGGGACCACAGGTGAGCGTCTCCATGCCTAATATATGTTTTTATTTTTATTAATTAATTATTATTATTATTATTGAGATGGATTCTCACTCTGTCCCCCAGGCTAGAGTGCAATGGCACAATCTCCGTTCGCTGCAACCTCTGCCTCCCAGGTTCAAGCAGTTCTTATGCCTCAGCCTCCCAAGTAGCTGGGATTACAGGCGCACACCACCACACCCAGCTAATTTTTGTATTTTTAGTAGACACGGGGTTTCACCATGTTGGCCAGGCTGGTCTTGAGCTTCTGACCTCAGGTGATCTGCCTGCTTTAGCCTCTCAAAGTGCTGGGATTACAGGCATGAGCCACCGCACCTGTCCTATATTATTTTAATACATATACACACATATATATAGTATTTATATATAACATATATAATTTATTTATATATATATAGATGTATTTATATATAAAATTATATATACTATATAGTATATATATACTTTATATAGATATAGTATTTATATAGATATAGCATTTATATATAAAAGTGTATATATATTATATATTATTTATATATATAAATATATATTTATATATATATATATTTTTTAACAGAGATGAAGTCTTGCTATGTTGCCCAGGCTGGTCTCAAACTCCTGAGCTTAAGAGGTCCTCCTGCCTTGGCCTCTCGAAGTGTCAAGATTATAGGCGTGAGCCACCCCACTCTGCTTATCGAGACCAGATTTTATCTTAGTCAAGCCTATATCCCAAAATACTACCTGCTTAAAAATGTTTGATTAATGCATCAGTTATAATTTAGCTTTAAATATAATTCCAAAAGAGAAATTCCCAAAACATTTTGTGCAATATCAGCATTCCTGGAGTAAGTATATATTTATTTCCAAAAGGAAAACTTAGAATGCTGCCTCATTTAGCTGTTTGGTATATTTGTTTTTTTAAAAAATTGAAGTCTTCTTATTACTTCATAACCATACCTCATATTTAGAGTAAACTATAAACTTATTGTACTCAATAAGGCCTATTATGAGAGATTAAATCAATGATGTTTAAATTACTCTAGAAACGCACATGCAAATTACAGCTTCTCGGAAGAAAGCCAGGACTCCCATGGATATTTTGAGGGAGTTCCAAGGAAATACAAAGATGAACCCTGAAGAACTCGAAACAGCTATTTATTGGTGGTGAATGAGCCTATTTGTTCAGTGTGTTTTTAAGAATCTTCAGTGACTGGAACAGAAATGCAAAGAGCCTGTTTCACTTTTATTTCAGAAATGTTAAAGAGCAATTTCCATACGACACTTTTCTTCTAACACTAAAGAGGCCCTGACAAAACAACAATCAGTGTAAAGGAAACATTTAGAGTTAACCCCCTGTGTTCTCCAGAGTATGAATCATCTAAAGTTGGACAAATGTTTCCAATTCCTGCCAGAGAAACTATTCTTTTGAGTATCCTGGCAATCAAGCCTACTTATGGGGACAGAGATGCTCTCACATAATAATTTAATATGGGGCTGGTAACAGTGGCTCACGCCTGTAATCCCAGCACTTTCAGAGGCTGAGGCAGGTGGATCACCTGAGATCAGCAGTTTGAGACTAGACTGGCCAACATGGAGTAACCCCGTCTGTACTAAAAATACAAAAATTAGCCAGGCGTGGTGGCAAGCCACTGTTATCCAAACTACTTGTGAGGCTGAGGCATGAGAGTTGCTTGAATCTGGGAGGCAGAGGTTGCAGTGAACCGACACTGCGCCACTGCACTCCAGCATGGGAGACAACGTGAGGCTCTGTCTCAAAAATTAATAAATAAATAAATAAATAAATAATTTAATATGGCATAGAAATTAGAACCTGACTGAATAACCAGAAATTTAACATTTCAAATAATTTTTTTATCAAATAGTTTTTATTTAACCTAAAAGTATTTTTCTGGCATAATATGATTGTTGTAACACGGACAATATAAGTAAGCATGATACTTTTCATGGACTCTTAGAAGTACTTATGTCATGACAGGTTAAGAGGGATAGCCTTAGAAAAAGAGTAGAAGTGAGTAGAATGAAATACATTCCCTAAGACTGTTAAGTATCACTTGCTGCATATAGTGTCTACTGAATTGGTAGCTCAGTTATTAAAATGATGCTTTGTTGCAGATACATTGGCTGACTAATTTTTCTGGTGATCAGAGAAGGAGAACTAAAAAGCACTGTTGAGGTATTGATCCCATGTTTGGCAATTTCATCATGTTCAGAGCTATATAATTGTAGTCACTTGTAAATTTAATTCAACTAGCTACAAGATAAGAAATTTGTCTTAATTTGTCATGCTCTTATCCATTTGAATTGTGTTTGTTAAGAACAACATTTTTATGTAGGACACATTTTAAGTGTCTAAGGACTTTTTAAAAAATACTCAGATTAAAAAAAAATTTAGATTCATGAACAAAGTAAATGCACTACAGAGTATATTTGAAAATTGGAAAAACAAAAGGGTTTATTATTAAAAGCCATTGGGAGAGTCCTACCTCCTATATCAATGCATCTAGAAATATCCCAACAGCATTGTGTCATTATTATTCAGTGGTTCTATTATTGCGGCTTTACTTGTGGATGAAATGCTATCTGGCATATTAGGTTCTTTATTATAGCATGATATGCATGCCATGTGACAATTTTGATTATTGGAGTTCTCGAGTGATTTGCAAATAGGATGAGCTTTTTTTTTTAATCGGGAATAAACTTTTAAAATTAGATAATAAGAAACAGCAGAAGACTACCATCTTTGGAACCACCTATTCTCTTAGCTGATGAGAATATGGAGAAAGATACTGCCATTAGGAGAGAAAATTGATAACAAACTACAGCAAAGACAATTGGGCAATATATACGCCAAAAATTCTCACATACTTGTATACGTTTTGATCCTGTAATGTTAATTCTATAGAAATATCCCAAGGAGGTAATCATGGACAGACACAAAATAGATATCATGACATCAAAGTATCACTCATAATATGAAAATATTGTAATTCTGCCCAATTAATAGTGCTTTATTTAATTAAATTATGTATATGAATAGAGTATTAGACATTATTGAATATTGTAAAAATATTTAATCATCTGGAAACTTATGTATTTTATATTTTTAAGTTAAAACAGGGCAGAAAACAAAATGGCATTGATTTATATATAAGTAAAGTGCCTAAATTATCGGTATGTTGAAATCATTTTATATATCAGTATATAAAGTATAATCCCATTTTTGTAACTTTATGCCAAAAGAGGAGTTATTTATTTGTGAAAATTTATTTAAAAAAATCGAAAGGCTAAATTTAAAATGCTAATAATTATGTTTGTGTAGTATTAATAGTAATGATTATTAGACATTTACTTGTTTTTTATCTATATTTTCTAAATTTCTACCATGGAAATAATTTTCTTTAAAGAAAAACTTAAAAATTAGCTGGGGCTGGTGGTCCATGCCTGTAATCCCAGCTACTCAGCAGGCTGAGGAGGGAGGATCACTTGAGCCCGGGAGAATCACTTGAGGCCAGGAGTTTGAGGCTGCTACAATGAGTCGTAATTGTGCCACTGCACTCCAGCCTGGGTGACAGAGTGAGACCCTGCCTAAAAAACAAAAAACAAACACAAAACAAAACAACAACAGAAAAGCTCACAAAAAATTCAAATGCATTTTGAATTAAATGGATGCAAATTAAAACATATACATTCAATTTATCCTAACTGATAATAGTAAAATTAATGAAAATACCTAGTTTTATCAAGAGTGTAGTAAAGTGTGCTTTTAAAATATTCACGTAATCTTTGACACAAAACATTCATTTTTAGGAATGTATCATTAGAAAATCATGAGGCTCATAACAATTATGAATGCAGGCAGATCACATACATTGGTATAAAATATGGAAAAATTAAATATAATAATAATTTGCTCACTAATTAGGGTTTGCTTTAAAAAAGATACAACAATATAGAATACAGCAACCTACTACATGTAAAAATTTAAAGATTATTTATTGACAATGAAATATATTCAAGAAGTGTATTGGTAAGGAGAGAAATGGCATACAATTGTATTATGAATAATTGTATTTAAATAATATATTCATGAACAAGTTTGTACATATGAGTATGAAGAAAAATTTGTAAGAATTGACTCACAATCTTATAAATGTTGTCTGTGGATGGCACAATTATGGACAACTTTTCTTTATAGGTCTGTTTTGACATTTTTACAGTATAAATAGGTATTACTTATTAAAAAATTGATTTGAAAGTGCTTTAAAATGATATGTACTGGGATAAGGTCCTTAGAATTTATCCAATCTGCTAGCTCAGGGTGACTCAACCATGGTGAAAAGATGGGTACATTTAAAAATATCAAGATTTGAGGAATGTGAGAATCTTGCTGCTTTTGGTGGGGAACATTAAACTGAGGTATAGAATTTCAGAGTTAAAATCATTAAATGTTAAACAGTGACCATCTATTTACCCAGAATAAATAATAATATTTTAATTTTAAGATATGTTTTCTATTGTGGAAAGCATAATTGACAACACGTTTTGGGTCATGATTTCTACTTATTTACAAATCAACATGATACAAGATGGAAAACAATGATAAAAAAGGAGAAAATCTAAGTTACTCACTCTTGTTGTATAAGCAGCTTCTGGGTCATCCTCCAGGACACGCGAAAGTCCGAAATCAGAAACCTTACACACCAAGTTACTGTTGATCAAGATGTTCCGAGCAGCGAGGTCTCGGTGAACATAGCCCATGTCTGACAGGTACTTCATGCCAGATGCTATCCCTCGAAGCATCCCCACTAGCTGAATGACAGTAAACTGGGCATCGTGTTTCTGGGAAGCATTTCAAATGTACAATTAAGATACGTTCCTATTTCTTAAAGATATATCTTTATTGGTTAAAATCTCACATATTGAATTTTGTAACAAGACTGACTATACACACTTTAGTCCTAAGCACTCAAGACAAAGATATGTGGCAAATGGATACAAGGCTGAAACAAAATAACACACTGGCTATGTTATCAAATACTTTGTAACAGGAAGTATCTTAACGTTCTTTGACTTCAGTTTAAAAGCAAGGACTTTCCTGGTCCTTATGTGACAAAAAAACTAACTCCTGCTCAGACTCATTAAGGTTAAGAACAAAAAAGTGAAATGAATCTTGTGGCTAGTTTAGGTTGATATTTATTTGTTTGATTGAATTTTCATTTCCCCTTCTTTGTTTCCTGATATTTTATGAATTGTTTCAAATAAGGTGGATGCTACATTTTTAAACATTATCATAAATAATTAGTTCATAATTAGTCAAAAATATTTATTGGATATTTGTTTTTCTACCCACTTCTGAATTGTAGTCACAAAATAGAAAGCAATAAGAAACTAAATCACATAATCCAGCTTCCAATCTAATTTAATCTTGGATTAAAATAGAAACATAAGGTTTAAAATGTATAGATAATGTATTTATATAAAATTCCATGTTTAATTACAAACGATAATTTTGAAAGAATATTTATCATAATATTTTAACTCACCTGATTTTGGAAATGTTTATTTTTGAAATAACGATTATGAAAATAATTGCTATTAAAATTTTTATTTGGCTAATGGATTTTAATATAAAGCATATCCTTTCTCAGTCTTAGAAAATTTAAAATTTTCCTCCATGATTATGAATGATACTACATATTTTCTTTATCTATTTATCTATCTATCTTTCTGTCATCTGCCCATCTCAATTTATATAGCAACAAAAGCACCTTGAGGACAGGGCCTATGTCTTTTCTTATCGCCTGCAATGACTGGTAATTGGTATTGTCTTGAACTTCATGAAATTGTTGAACATAACATTTGTTGAAATAGATGTAAATTTAATATATTCACTTTCTTATGGTGAAATATAGTATGTCAAAATATGGCCAGGTGCGGTGGCTCATGCCTGTAATCCTAGCAATTTGGGAGGCTGAGGAGGGCGGATCATCTGAGGTCAGGGGTTCTAAACCAGCCTGGCCAACATGGTGAAACACCACCTCTACTAAAAATACAAAAACTAGCCAGGCATGATGGTGGGCGCCTGTAATCCCTGCTATTTGGAAGGCTGAGGCAGGAAAATCACTTGAACCCAGCAGGCGGGGATTGCAGTGAGCCAAGATTGCACCATTGCACCATTGCACCATTGCACCATTGCACCATTGCACCATTGCCTGGGCAACAAGAGTAAAACTCCATCTCAAAAAATATAGATAGATAGATAGATAGATAGATAGATAGATAGATAGATAGATGATAGATAAACGTATAAAGCTTCTCAATCTAAAAAATTAATGTACATATCTAACAGCAAAATGATATATCTAAATTAAAACTATATATACTTTAGCATTATAGCACATGCTTATTTTCTGACAGCACTGTTTGGAAAGTAGATGGGCTGTCTTATATCAGACTGTGATTAAATAATTATATCAGACTGAGATTACTTAAAAAAGAGACTTTCTGTCTTACATCAGTGGGTTTTATTACTTGCTTTAGGATTCTTTTTTATTTTTATTTAACGAGTGTGAATCTTGGCAGTATAAAAAGAGTCTTTTGAAGAAGAACTCACAAATTTGTTTTAAAAATATAAACCATTAACATTTGAATGCTGCAAAAAAAGATGCAATTTTACAGCCCTTCTCTGTCTATTTAGCCTCAGAAGATTTCAGTTTTACTTTAAACTTAGATTACTGAATTGCTTGGCACAATATTGGAGGGTGTCTCTAATGTTTTCAGCAATTTATTCATATATATGTATGTGTGTGCATCTTACTTACACGTAGGAAACTATCCAAGGAACCATTCTCCATGTATTCTGTGACAATCATAACTGGCTTACCTAGATATACAGTAAATAATAAATAATAATCAGTACAGTTCAAGTATTATACAATGAACATATATAATATAGTTGGATTTACCTGAGGATTATAGAGATGTAAGAACTTTGCCTGTCTTCTAATTTTTAAAAATTTTAAAAAGCCCTAGGTTTCATTAGAAAATAAAACTTTAAAAACCACAAAAATTGGAGAAGATTGGTTTCCAGAACAAAGGCCCATGACCAATAGCATCTAAATTGGTTTGACAGGCCTTTCAAGTAAACAAAAAATATGCCCCTTTCCTCTCTTTAATTAAATTCTCACTTATCTTCAACACCAAATATTTCTGCCTCCAAGCCCAAGATAATGTTAGGAATTTAACATTTATTTATTCTTTCTATGGGTATTTATATGTGCTATATGTGCACACACACATATATACGTGTAGGGCACTGTGCTAGGTGTTCTCTTTTGTGCCGCTTAGTGGGGAGCAAGTAGATCAAAATTTCTGCCTTTATGGATTCTACACGAGTTCTACAAAACAATTCAGAATAATAGTTATAATTATTTACAAAATTTGTTTAACACTTAAAAATTATGAAATGAATGCTATGTTTAAATGGAAAATAAAACTGAAATTAAAATTGCTATTGGCAGTAACTTGTAATAACCAGTTTGCAAATATGTAGCCTAAAATACCATGAAACCTTTAACCCAGCATTTTAATGTATTTAAATAGTACTTATTGTGAGCATGATGCTGGTGTAATTAATTTATATATTAACATATTAAGTATTATTATTTCCATTTTACACATGAGAAAACTGAGACACAGAGGCTAATTAACTTGCTGGTCATCATACATCTAACAAGTTATAAAGCTAAAAGTTGCAACCTGTACACACTATGCTGTCACTTTCGGAAACTGATAATGAGGGAAAAATGTAACATATGAAAAAGCATCAGACACAAAGGTGCTAAGTATAGTGGATACACAGAGCTATGAATATAACAAATGTTCCACTACAGATAATGATTTAGTCAGTTATTGCATGTTAAAGCTATGGATGATTTTAAATTAAAATGATGACCTTAAGACTTAAGCACTTTAGACAATTGTTACAGCGTAATATTATACAAAGCTGAAAATATAATTCTATATACATTATGGTAACAATTAAGAAGATTATGTAAAACTAACATTTTAAAAAGAAAAATACCAAAAAAAGGATGCTTTGATATAAAAGAAATACTGGTAATTTTTTTTTCATGATTAGAATTATGTAACATTGCATTAGGTACTTGACATTTGTTATATCACTTAATCCTCACAGCTTACTTATGCTTTAGCAATATGCATTATTCCCATTTTACTGATTCCTACCCAGAAAACATTGTGGGTTTAAGCAACTTGTTGAGGTAATACAATTAGATAGCAGTCAAGAAAATTTTAAACACGACTGTCTCTAATTTCAAAACCTATACATATTACCACACTGTAATTCCCTTACTTTATTATTCTTATACTATTTTAGTTATAAGTCCAGCATTTTACAGGAAGGAAAATCACTCCTTTTCCAAGTCCAGAAGACGTGAGTTGAGTATTAACCGAGTACTGCTGAAAACTCATAAGCAAATAACAGATGTTAAACAAACATTAATGTACACATAACTGTATAACACAACTTTTCCTCCTATGTGTCTTATTTATCATGAGGTTAGTTTGCCATTCTGATGCTAGAAAATAACTTCCTTTTCTTGATTTTTTCCTTTCATGTGTAAAAAACTCTTTGATTTGTACAAAATGTAAATTATGAGTTAGCATCATGAAGGTTATACTTTTACATTCAGTAATTTGAATATATTCCAGGAATTATGTCTTATTTATTAAGGAAAAATCTATTTAAATTCTATAGTTTTTGAGATAACTTTTATACATGTTACAACCACTTGATACATTGATCTATTTTCCGTTAAGACACTGATTTATGTCTTTAAGGCACCATGTAACATCTATCTAGTTAATGTAGTAATATCTGAAAAATTGCTTCAGTCAAAACCTTGAGCCCCCAGAATTTGCTTTATCAAAATTCCAACTAAACTTTGATTAAACAATATTCAAAAAGAAAGGGAAGATTCACCATTTCCTTGGAAACTTAGATCTCTCCTGAATTAGTATCAGTTCCCTAGAGACTGTTTGATTCTAGATGCCTGGCCTGAAATGAAATGAATGAATAAATGAATGAATGAATAAAATCCTGCATATGTGTACTTTCTATAAATCACCATCAGTTTCTGTCTTTCCTCCTTCATACAGTGCTGGGAGGAATGATATGTTACCAAAATTCAATGCACACTTCAAATGCAGTCACAGATATTTTGCCTCACACCACCAACTCTCAATATCATTGGCCAGTTACTGCATTTTTATACTACTCAGACCTTTACTTATCACTCCTTTCCTTCTGGCTCCCAGCCTTATGACCATTTCTCATTAGCATGTCTAGTGGGATGTTTGGGAAGGGAAATAAAAGTAGCTGAAAAATCAAACCAGTCAATTAAGTCAAAGCCCCATGACCATTCAGAAATCACATCAGCGTGCATTTAACTCTAGAATTCAGGTATTTGTAAACACATCAGTTAAGATGGGCAAGTCTGAAAATGTGCTTTGCATTACGTTCAAAGATTCTGCAAATCAAATATACAAAGAGTAAACAGAATTACAAATATTCTACCTTGGGAAACAGTATCTTGACTTAGGGTTTCCCTTGTGATTTTGATTATGGTAAATAGGGTTAAAGAAAAAGAGACTTCTGTAGTGGCGAGAACTAGTTCCAACATGCATTAAATGTGGTGGGAAATTATTTATAAAATGCCAGCTCATCTGCGCATTATGCCATGTATTTGTACTCAAGTTTGCATGCTCTTCCAGGTGTATTTTGATTTACAAATGACATGATCGTCTTCCTCCAGACAAAGCTTGTATCATTTGCGGCTCTCAGAAACCCCAAAACACATCTGGGTATACATACTAAACTCAATGAAAGTACTGTTCTATGACTTGCTGAAATGAAACCATCAAAAATGAGCAAAACAAAATTTGCAGTGGAGTTTTGCTTTTGTTCTCAAGTTGATTTATGAGTTTAGATAAAATGATGATCTTTCACAATTGTAAAGTAAAGGGAAGCAAATCAGTCTGTTATAATCAGTTCCTTTTCCCAACTATCCCCAGTGGCTCGGAGCTATTACTAGTCATTGAATCGCCGCTTGATGACAGAAGAAATATGATTCAAAATGTCTAAGAATTCCAGATTCAGCACCAGCTATTTTAACACAACCTTCTCAATCACATTTCTTATAGAGTAGAATAATGTGAAATATATACACATACATACGCATATATATATACATATATAGTCAGTCATAAAGATATTTTCTTTGAAATTTTCTAACAAACTTTGTTTTTCAGATTAAAATATTTTCATTCAAACAAACTGTTTATCAGATATTGAAACATTATTAAATATTTACATTTAATAATTTCAAATGGAAATGCTATTAACTCCCTATTAACAACAGTCATTGGGTCTAACACTCTATGTCTTATTTTCAAAAGGATTAAACACACTCTAATGAGGGTATATTATAAAATCAAAACCTTTGACCTTAGCCGCTAGCAATCTATATAATCAGTGTCAGGATGGAAGGAAAAAAAAAAAAAACGGGAGATGGAAAGTTGAAAAAAATTGACAAAATTTGCCTATTTCCAGGAAAGAAGATTTGAATCATCTTTGATGAGAATAAAAAATGTATCATAGATTTTCACATATCATACCTAACTGATAAAAATATTGTAATGAATATTGAACTGAAATATTGAAATGAAATATTGAGCTGAGTTAGGGTATTTTTTTTTGTGGGTTTCTTATTAAATCATTATAAAATTACAGGGCAACGTCTTCCAAATTCCATTTTAATCAAGACATTATTGTGTGGAAATGACCCCTATTACGTCTATGAGTTAATGAGAGCAAAGACCAAGCCCATTTGTCTGTAGTTCTAAATCCAACACCTACCACTGTGCCAGTTACAATTGATCAAATTAGGTCTATAATTTCAGACTGGCTAGAGATAATTTCTTTCTTCAAAATCAGGATGAGAAACACTTTCTCCAAGACTTCCTTAACCAACCCTACTCTATCAATCCTAACACATAGAATGCTTTACTTTCAGCTGCTTGAAAAATATTTATATTTATTTATGCTTAACTTGAAACGAAATTTAACATCTTCAAAGATAACAACTAATTTACTGTCCATTATGCTAGTTAGAGCTGAGTCATGCAGTAAGCACAATAATGTAAGGCATACAGTAAGTGGAATGAATGTATATAATACTCTTAATATGTTGTTTGATTTCATAAAAAGTTTTGTTTTTTTCTCCTTTCCAAGCTTTCTTTTATTTATTTGCTTGCCTAATTGGAAAAGCTTATTTAACAAAAAACAGGATTTCAAAAATATCAGTGAAGACTGTCATTATCAGAGTGCTCAAAATAATGCAAATAAAGGAGCTGATTTATTTGTAAAAGTCAAAAAAAAAGGTTTAAGATTTCCTGTACAATATTGAATTGAAATAATAATAACAACAGGCTTTTTGTTTTCTCTCGAAAAGAAATGCTTTTAAAGTTTTACTATTAAATGTGACATTTGTGGGTTTGTTTGTGTTTGTTTGGGGGCTGTTTACATACCTTTATCAGGAATACATATTTTCTATGTATGATGTGCTAATAAAAAATTAAAATTAAAATAGTTTATTTTTTGCATTTATTAAGATAGAACTTTCTTATTACCTATTAATGTTATGAGTTTTTAGAATTGTTAAATACAAAACCAACTTTTCATACTTGGAATAAACTACACTTGGGAAATGGTGTAGTATCTTTTTTGATACACTTTCAGATATGGCTTCACAATTATTCTAGTGTTATTAAATTTTTGTTTATGCATTACAATAATGTTATTATACTTTCTGATAATAGCTGTATAGTTTGGTATCAAGATATTACTAGCCTCGGCATTTAGAGGTGATACTTTTTTTCCCTTTCTGCAAAGGTTGTGTAAGACCACAGTTATTCAGACAGCTACTAAACTAGTGCTTCATCATATTTCTTCTTTCTCTAGGAGATTTACTGTATATGTAAACCAGTGCTCTAGAAATGGTGTCTTTGGGCACACACAAATCGTGCTCTAACAAATTTTGTAAGTTGATCTTAATTTTTCAAAAATATCAGAAAACCATCCTATACATATAAATGAGAAAAATACACAATACCACACTTTTCTATAAGTCAAAATGGCCTATTCATCCAAGGGACATAAGTGGACAGTGATGAAGAAGTAACAAAAGCTGTTTAAATATGTAAAAATAACATTCCCTGTCTTATATTTTTCTAATATATCGAGCAGTGATTTTTTAATTTTGTTGATGTGGTTACTTAGACAGACATGTTCTGAACTCATTTTAACAATTTGCAGCCATGAATCCATGATAAAACTTGGGTCATTAGAGTTTCCAAAATTTGTTATCCTAACAAACTATCTCTGTAAATTACTAGTATAGTAAGTACAACGTATGTATTGTCTTTTAAGATGACATGAAGTGTAGTACACTTAAGACAAATTTAGAATATTTTTAGAGAGAAACAAACAGAAAATAACTAGAATTTGGCATTGTTACTAAATGATGACCTCTTATTCCAGAAATGTGTCCTTACCGTACATGCAGGGAAACAGGCAACTGGAAGCCAATGGCTAAGCTTTTAGTGAAAGTGGATACTCATGCCACTACAGATAAGTTTTAATTATGAAAATCATCTTAACGTTCTGCCCATGACATTCCTCAATAATGCAAAGTTACACTTAAGTTACATGGTAATTTTTTAAAATTTCCTGAAAATAATGCAAGACAAAATACATTAATCTCATCCAATATAATTCCTTCTATTTCGCTAGGTGAAAAGTGGCCAATGGAAGGTGTTCTTGGAGTCTGAACATTATTTGACTAATGGTGTGATGGCAGAAATATCAAACATTTGCTAAGAACAAGTTCTATCCTTTTGAACTTCAGCTAAAATTGATAACACATGTTAGTACCTTGTTGTGAGCAGAGCCTGTGCCCCCCGCTTTCTGCTACTTTGAAGATCAGAGACTCTCTCACCTTCTCCTGTTTAAGACCATCAGGCTCAAAAACATTAAAATTGTTTGTGGCTAAATGAAAATACAATGACTGAATAAAAAGCTTTAAGAAAAGTTTTCTTCAAATGATTTGAAAATGATACATTGTATTTGACCTAGTGTTTCAAAGCACACAATCGAATAACAATAATAAACAGATTTATCTTTGAGCAAAAAAAGAATTATTTTCAAGAATTTTTTTCTATACACCCAAATTGATTGGTAAAATCTCAAACAACCAGAGGAGTAATTTAGATTTGCACAGTTCTTTGCCACTTAATATATTCTTATGTAATCTCATTTGATCTTTAGTATCTAAAAATAGTAAAGTAGTACTGTTTAATTTTGTTACAAGCGAAGAAATGAATTATGTGTGAATTGTCTGATTTGTAGGAGTTCTCAGAGGAGTAAGGTTGTTTCAGAACTTGAACTCAGATCATTGATTATTAATCTAGATACTGATATGCCTGCTTTTGAAAATATTATTTTGTTCATTAAATTATAAGCTCTGCATCACTCTAGTTGTGTGTGTGTGTGTGCATGTGTGCATGTATAGATGTGCTTTCTGATCTCTGCAGGTGGATTGTTTTAGAAATCTCAGGAAACAAAGACAATAATAGCAGTAGAATAAATAGCTTCTTTTGGAAACACAATCGCTCTGTGTGTGTGTGTGTGTGTGTGTGTGTGTGTGTGTGTGTGTTAAATACAACATATCAACTTTATTGTAAGGAGTTTCTATTTCCTCTCAGATGTTACCGGGTGCCAGACTAAGAGCTTATAAATATGCCACCAAGGAGTTCAAAATCTAATTCTAGGGCTACTACTCTATTATATTTACAATATATGAGATGACTGGGATTTATATAGTCAGATTTGGCAGCTTCTTACATGCTTATTTGACCAGGGAGATATATCAAATTTAGAACTCTCACCCTAAGAATAAGGCAGTTGTAATCCATATTAGAATGTTACAGAGTCGGTTTGAGTAAGATGTTTAATATATAATACCTGCAATTTTTAAAAGTCATTTTAGTGCATTTTTCTACATTTTTTGTCTTAGAGATTGTTTCATAGATTTGTCAGTCTACCATAATCTATATTTAATTGTTTCAGTTTTATATCTAAAGGAAA
The DNA here is from genome assembly GCF_000001405.40 of Homo sapiens. Classification (NCBI taxonomy): domain Eukaryota; kingdom Metazoa; phylum Chordata; class Mammalia; order Primates; family Hominidae; genus Homo; species Homo sapiens. The sequence goes on along the minus strand of NC_000003.12, from coordinate 89,421,761 downwards.
TTTGCCACAACATTTATAGTTTAATGTTGCTTATCATCCAGTAAATGCATTTATAGGAAACAGGAAAATATAAGGAGTAGCTTTCATAATTCATAACACTGAAACAAAAAAATCAACTCATGACTGACAAAATAATAGAGTGAGTTTATTAGTAAGCTTAAATTAGAACCTAATATTTGTGTGATAGTGACTCTTAGCTCATTTTTTTCTTAATTACACATGTTGAAGAAGTTAGATTATGATTCTATTCAAGCTAAAAAGTAATCATTTTTTTTCATCACTCTCTGGGTGATAGAAGTAGTTATTTAAATGCACTCCTTTGAAAAGTGTATTCAATTTAATGAATCAAATACTAAAGAAAGACCTATTGTTAAAAGATATTGTTGTGTCCTCCCTTCCTTCCTTCTTTTCTTTCTTCCTTCCTTCCTTCATCAATATTTTTTTTAATTTTTCAACATTGGTAAATTAAGTATCTATTATGATCCAGGATTTATTTTAGTCACTTGTCATCAAATAACATGGGTTTTTGCCCTCTTTGAGAGTTTATATTTTGTTTTAGATATTAAGGATTATTAATAGTTCCAGAAATTTTTGAAGATTGAGGAATGTCTCACTATGTTAGAGAAGATTTTTAAAGTAACGATATAAAAGAATAAGTAGAATACAGGAAAAGACAAGTAGAAACCTGTTTGGGTTCAGAGTTGGGGATGGGGTGAAATGAACAGAACAAGTTCCCAGTGCTACCTCTAGCATTTTCTAGTTATACAAGCTAATTACCCTTTACAGTTATTGTTTGTTCAAATGTAAGAGAGAAATTATCATGTCTAATTCACAGGGTAGTGGTAAGAATGAAATAATGTCATAGTATAATGTGGGCACATAACAGATACTTCATAATGAAAAACTTGTAAAAATTGAGAGTTAGAAGAATGGCTTCATAAGTACAAGGGAGTTTTCTCTTCCCAGGAGGCTCAAGAGCTAAAAGGCAACCACCACTTGATGCAGATGTAATGGAGAACATTAAATGGCTAAATGACACTAAAATCCCAATGAGACATGATACTGTAACTGTACAGACATAAAACAGTATAGCCTTGCTCAGAAAGAACAAAGGATTCATACACTTTCCCAATCCTTACTAATTATGCCCATTTTTATTAATTATTAACTTAAAATTTAAAAATGTTTTTTATCAGAAAATATTTCTATTAATAAGGCCTGGTTTTGTAGAGTACATAGGCAAACAAATAAAAAGCCTTATAAGAATTAATATGGACTTACAATGTATGTTGAACTATTCCACATTGTTAAATTCTTAATTCCACTTTTTATATATGAAAACTCAAAAGGAAATCAAAGTCTATTTCAATTAAACCATGCTCTCATGAGGAAGGAAATGCCTTTTTAGTCATGCTAAAGTGAGAATAAGTATTAGTGCCATTTGGAAAATGCTCTATAAAATGGTAAAGAGAAATATAATTATGAAAAATATGTCTGTTGGTAACGATAGAGTATGTAAATGTGGTGCCAATGAATTATCCCCTAAAGGATGCCAAATTCCCTGCCATATGTTGTCTTTCACTCTAAAAAGTTTGCTGCCAATTTCACTTATTCTTCATCCTGAGCTCCAAAATCTTGAGGAAAAATGTCCCAGAGTATTCTCAAGAGACTTATATAGGGATTGGAGCCAAAAATCACAGATCCGCCTCACAGGATCCCTTTTGAGACCTGCTGGAGAAACCATCATGGAAATAAGTTCACATCTCTATCATGGGCTGTGAGCCAGAGCTTCCACAGAGCAGTAAGAATCCACCTGGGTTTCTAGATCAGAACTATTTAAAATCCACAGAGAACCAAGAAACGGCCTTGGGTCTATTGTGATTCCAATCTGTACAGCTCAGAAGCATTTCCTAGACTCCCAAAATTTTCCTAAAGGCAGGGATGCAGGGGGTGGGAGGAGGTTAAAGATTTGTAACTTTTAAATAAAACTGATGAACAATAAAAGAAAAGGCAGCTAGCTGGGAGTTCCTGTCAAGCTTGAGTCATTGTTTTTCTTTGCTACTTACATAGCCGAGAATTCCCCACAATTCTTCTCTTAACTGTCTGCTAATCAGCGTACCTTTAAATGGTCTAATATGTGGCTTCTAGTATTTTTTTAAAATTTTTTGAGGTCTAAAACAGTACTGTCAATAGAATATTATTTAAAGGTCTGCTCTACTGTCAAAGAAAGGCATGCTATTCCTAAACTTTTCTTTTTGGTAAAACTGAGATACTTATGAAAAAAAGCCAAAATTCTTAAATGGTTGGGGTTGGGTTTAAACAACCTTTGCTCAACATACGGAAACACAGGTCTTATGACTACTTTACTTACTTTTGGTAACAACTCCTTCCAGTCGAATGATATTGGGGTGGTCAAACTGTCCCATAATGCTTGCTTCTCCCAGGAAGTCTCTCCTCTGCTTTTCTGTGTAGCCAACTTTCAGGGTCTTAATGGCCACTGAAATCTCTTTTTTTGAAGGAAGTTTTAAGCGACCACTGCACACCTCTCCAAATTCACCTGTTATAAAGCAGAACAGCAACAAAATGTAAGGAATTCTATAATAAAAATTCATCAGTAGAGAGCAACTGTTTTATTTCAAAATTTCCATTTAAAATATTTGTGCCTTTGACCTGCAAGATGTACACTCTAGTACTCCAAATTATTTTGAAAGATAATCATATGAAACTGCCTAGAAAACCTCAGGATAGTCACCCCCTGTTGGAAAATGAACCTTGTGAAAATTCCATATACTTTAAAGTACGACACTATAAATAATGTAATGTAAAAGGAGAGATAAGTTGAAAGCTGCATATGTTAGATTTTTTACCCCTTGTTGTCATAGCTACCATTACCTCAGAGAAATTAACAGGACAGCACCAACAGTGATTAAATGTGAGCATTGGATTAAATTTCAGATATTTTAACAATTCTGTTTTTACCGAGGGCCAATATGGCTATATATTCAGACTCTAAAAATGAGAAGGAAAGCATCTGCTATCAATTTATTTTATTGGAGTATTGGTGTGTTGCTTTACTGACATACCAGCTATAAAAGTCTCTGGGCTTCTGGAGGACAACAACAATATAACAGTATCAAATAAAAACAACATGCCTTATCTAAATACTGTAGAAATATTTTAGATTCATCTTCTTCAATTTAAAAAAAAAAGTCTTCAATGTGCAATTAATCCAGAATTTGTCCCATATAGAGTGTTACTGACTTTTAAATATTATAGTCCAGTTGATATAAAACTGCCTAGAACTAGTATGGACACTACCTTCAAAATACATTTTTACTGAGAGATTTACTAATCATCAATTCATTACATTTGGAGCTCACTTAGAGCAGATACCCTTTACATTTATTTATCTGTACCCATGCTGCCATGATGATTGCCACATGGGAGTTCTATAGAATGTCCTTTGTTCACAGAAGAACTTCTAACATAGTGTGGATTATCAGATATGTTTTGCATCACATTAAAAATAGTTTTTAATGTCAAATGAGCTTTTCTTGAAATATTTTAGAATTAATTATATGATTAATTTTTGGCTCTTGATGGAGTGGAATCATAATCTTGGTCCAATTTTCTCTCTGTGAATTTTCTATGAGCTTCATGCCCTACGTGTCAGTCAGATTGAAGTGATATGATTCTTCTCTATTTTTGTTTTCAAGCAAGTGGTTTGAACCACAAAAGTAGCAGGTTGTCCTATTGATTTGCCAGCTACATTACTACAAATGGTGTCTCTCTCCCTGGGAAGCTTTAACCTTCCCCAGGCTTGACTCATCCCCAGAAATCCACTCTTGCCCTGTTTTCAAAGCAATGACTTATGCTTTAATTTGGCAAAGTCACTTAAAATCCAAAAGCAGATATTCATGCATTTATTTAATAAATATTCATAATAGCAACTGTATTGCATACAGTATAAAACACACAGAGATAGATATAATGGTAAACAAGACAGGACTAGTTTATTCCCTTTGAGGAAGTGTAGAGAAGATAATGATATCTACAGCTATAGTGTTCCTTAGGATACAGAAAGAATCAGGGAGTAGAACTTGAGAAAGTTCATTGATCTTGCTAATTCGAAGGAAGAATATGCCATTTAGATATGAGAATATTAGGAGAAAGAGAAGTTATGGTGTGATAAAATTATTCTCAGAATTGTAAACAAGAGTAAGAGTTTCTTTCCTCATATAGGGTTATCCGAACATTATCAGAGCGCTCCCATTTACTTTGTTTCACTTTGTGTAAACACTAAGCTTGGGAAAACCAGAAAGTTCTGCCATTATCATACATCAACATGGTATAATAGAGCATGTTTTAAATGTAGATGTCATCATCACATATTCTAAGTGACATGTCACTTGTCAGTTTACAGGAGTGATAGTACAGAACTCTGGTTAAGAGCATGGATCCTGCAGCCGAATTGCTTCGGGTCCAATTCTGACTCTGCCACATATTAGCTGTGTGATTTTAAGTAACTTAACCTCTCTGTACCTATCTTTTCCTATCTCTATGGGGGACACTTATTGTATCTACCTCATAAAGCTGTTGTGGGATTAAAGGAACTAATGTATGTTAAGTACTTGAAACAGTGCCAGACACACAGTAGGTGACATCTAAGTGTTGGTCACTATTTATCTCTCTGAGTTCAGACCCACCTAAAGGATAAATTGCCTAACTACCCTTTAAGAGTTTCTGTTTAAATCAAACTGACAAATGAATATGAAAGTGCTTTATAAAATGCCAAATTCTATGTTAATGTAAGAGATGGTTATGGTAATGATGGCGATAACAAGGCTCATGTCTTACTGGACATATATTTGTAAAGGATAGCATACTAGAGATATGAAAAGTAGGAGTTCAAATTTTAAATGAGCCAATTAAGAGTGTTCTTTGTTGTAAGTGGGACACCTGGACACATAAACATGTACATGTATATATTTACCTTCGAAATTCATGAAAATTGTGTTTCAGCAATGCTAGTTTTTAAAATTCCCCACATTTAGTAATGTGATTATTTCATCAGATAAACACTAGAAATAGCCGCCAATATATTATAAAAGACATAGAAATGCTTAATATTAATTCAATTATATTTTTAATAATTTAAAATAACTGCATTGGGATAGCAATTATGGTTATTACAACTCTGAAAATATACTAAAAATCACTGAATTGTATACTTAAATAGCTGAACTTTATGGTTGGTAAATTGTATCTCAATAAAGCTGCTAAAAATAGAAAAAGATTAAAAATAAAAAATAAAAGAACTGTATTGTAAAAGTTAACAAAGACTGGGCAAATGCAATTTGCAATAGTTTCATCTGGCCAAGTTTTATATTGTCTTATTCAATTAACTTTGCACCCATATGAAACAAAAATTCAGATCTTGTCATTTCTAGATAAAAGCATGGCTGCCAGATCTTGATTTTTTAATTCTAATAAGTGCGGCAATTTTATTTGCTCTTTGAAATAGGTATATTTATAAGAATGGGGACTGTATTCTGATTAAAATGCACAATGTAAAAGCTGCTCAAAATAAAATTTCTTATGCTAATTTCATTTAAACAATTAAAAAAAGCCGACATTTAAATAGAATGACTCCCTCCAACACTAGCTTTAAAGCCTACCCTCCTTCTACTGTTTTCATAAAGTAAGCATAATAAAAACACATATTGAACAATGCTTCTGTGTCAGCTAAGTCCCCTGCACAACTTATCTTGTTTAATCCTCAAAAAAAAATACTATGAAGAAGACACTACTATGATCTCCAGTGTCCAGCATGGGCTTTAAATTTGGAAAGTATAAGATTCAAATTTTGGTTTTTCATTTGATCCAAACAAGTCTATTCAAATTCTCAGCTTTTGTTTATTCACGTGCTGAAATGGAGATAATAATACCTATCTAAAAAGGATAATAAAATTAAATATCATGGGAATGCACAGGATAAATTAAGGACTTACTAAGTATTTACTTTCTTCAGAAATTTTTAGTATTCAATCGTTGAAAGAATGGTTGGATTGAGGAGTAAAATTAGGAATTGTAGTCATGAATTCCTCACTTCTAGTAATCTACTACTGTGGGAAGCTAATTCATATGTCTTAATTTTATCATTTATAGTATAAGTATAATTCTTTCTATAGTCCAATGTATACAAGAGAGTTTCCATAACATCAATTCATTTATGTAAAATTTCTGACAGAAATTTAAGAGAATTAGCTTATATATATATATATATATATATATTCTTTCTGTAAATTTAATTGACTCTGAAAGTTATGTAGTTGGCTGAAAGGTTTGCCTTTCTAACAATGGAAGCCAGTTGGTAATCAATTTAGAATAATTATTAAATTTTTATAAATAACATATTTTTTTTAAGATTAAGAATGTAGGAAGTAGGTAAATGTATATACCAACCAAGGTTGCCATTTGTTCATTGTTATAAAAGCTATTTTAGAAATGAGTAACATACAGGTTTATTTATTATTACACTATTTAATTTATTTGTGTACATATTTTACATTTTACAAAACAAAATGTTTAACAAATTGTTAGCTTTTAGGAATAATAATTTCATTTTCTAACTTGGTAAATACAAACCCTCTGAAAGGTCATCAAGGCAGTCTAGAATTGGGTGTGTATATTGTATTGAATTATTTCAGGAAAAGTATAACTAACCTTGAAGGTATACCTATTTGCAAATAAGTACAGTTTTGTTGTTCTTAACATGGCAAATGTGAATATTGGCTGCAAAACCCTGAACATGGGCATATATCTAATCATTAACATATATACTTGAAGACAGAAATAGGAAGGAGGCTCTATTCTAATCTTTAATGAGCATCAGGGATTAAGTGATTCAGTATAAATAGACCTCCCCTTATCTCATTTATCAGCTGCTATTTTCAGTGGTGTGCTTTTTCCCAAATCACTATGTTCTGTATATCTGAGTCTGTCAATAATAACTATATAAAGATATTTTATCAGTGGAGAGGTACCTAAATTTCAACATCATAATAATGTCTGCCTGGCTTTTGGACAGTGGCTTAGCATAAGTAACCTTTTCCTCCTCTCAACATATTCTCCAGTTGAGTGTTCAAAGTCCTCGTGCTGCATTTGCTACCGCAGGCTCCGTGCTGGAGAAAAGTGCACTCTTGTGAGGAAACATTAAAACCAGCCAGACTAAACCCTTCTGCATCATGGAGCTGTTCAGAAGTCAGGACTGAAGAAATGAAACAGAGTAAACAATATATATCTGTTTTGGCACTGGATCAGCACAGATGTACAGCGAATATGTTTACTCTCAAGTCTTAGATTGTAAAAAAGAAGTTACTACTCCATTTTCTTTCTATGAACACAAGTTTCATATTTTAATATTACCTGCACATGTAAATTTTAGGATAAGAAATTAAGATAATTAGAAGAGAAGCTCTAGTAAATTAACATTATATTTACAAGATTGTCCTGTTCGCATACTAACTACTGCTTGATTTTTCAGTACTACTTTGGTGTATAGAAAAAGAAACAAAGCATTACATGTACATTTTTGTAAAGACACATCACTCATAAATATGTAAATACGGTACTTGCAGAAAATGTGATCTGATGTTACACAGAGAATTCCTGTATCAACATAACTAGTTTATGTTTGCTTTGGGGAGTGACATTGAAGGATTAGATGATGGTACAAAATTTTTTATTGTTGAGCATGGTTCATTTTTACTTTTGAATAGTAGTTTTACTTCCATGCATACTGCACATATCATGTGTTTATGTGTAAATATATAAAATACTGTTATTTTACAAATATATGAAATTTTTCTTATAAATATGCAACTGTTATTAACCACTTAATAGGTGATTGTTAACAAATTTATCATTGTTTAAATTAATAATTAGAACAAAGGTATATTTATTAAAAAAAGCTTTAACACATAAGACTATTCAAAGTCAAGCAAGCATTAAAATGGAGCACCTTATATTATTTAAAATATCCACCCAAGATAGTTGTGATAAAATTTATGTAAGATGAGTCATGATATTACTTTGTGTTGTTTGTTCTTTTAATTCCAAACATGATTCTAAAATTGAAAATGAAAACTTCAAATTACCTGGGTTGTCTAAATTGAAATAGACTTTTATCCAGTTATCCTTATTTAGCCAAATAGGTTTTGTGACACACGATCAGCACAGCTATGGGAAGATTGAGTTGTTGCTGCTGTCACATCAGAAATTTAATAAATCAAAAGCAGCCATGGTCTGTGAGCCGGTAAGTCTGGCACCTTTGAACTCATTACATTCCATTAAATATTGCACTTATTTATTACTTGCCTTTGATCATGAAATCAGAAAATTCCCATTTCTTTAGCAATATACTTAGGTTTCAGAGACTGAGCAATCGTGATTCACATACAGTACTAAGTTGGCAGTAGGGTCATTGTGGTTACCTGCTCCAACAACTTTATCAATGGATATGTTGGTGGCATCCAATTCCTTGGCAAACTCATGAACAGCTTGGGTAGGGTCTTCATATGTATGTGGGTCAACATAAGTCCTGAGACCTGGAAGTTTTACTGTTTGAGGAAAGAAAGAAAGGCGCAATTGTAGCTAGATTTGTACAAACAATTATAGATCAAATTTTATGGCATTATTGGTTTAAAAAAATCCCTACCCCATAAGGTGCACAACCTTCAGTTTATTCTGTAGTATCACAGAAACTGGCAGTGACATTGGACTGTGTTGAAAAATTTAAGAAAACATGTTCTCTATGATGAATTATATAAAGGAACCACAATGAGGAGCTTTCTTTGCAAAAACATCAGAAGGAAAATGCATACTCAAAAAAGGGGATCTTAAGAAGAAAGATAATTCAGAACTGATTAGACCTAGTCATTACTACCAGGAGCAACAGTGAGTGAACACCATTATGCTATTGCATATTTATGATTACACAAATGTTATAATAACCAGATATGTATTACAATGCAAGATTGGAAAATAATTCAATACAATTATAAGGTGAGATAATGGCTGCAATTATAGATAAATTAAATGATATATAATGGCATACCTTCTGACACTGTACTGCTTATATTAACATTCACAATCAAAATGTCCCACTGTAATTACAAATCTACTTTAAGCTGTTAGTATGTGTATACATGTATGTATTATATATTATATTGGTGTGTATATATAATACATACATGTATACACACCAATATAGTATCAGTTAAATATAATCATATTGTATAGCTTTATAACATAATTAGAAGTAAAATAAATATTGTCTATGAGTTGAATAATGGCGCTAAGGAGCTAAGTTCCAAACGTAAGTCATATATGTAATTTATTAAATAAAAATCTCCTTCATATTATATTTATTCATTAAATTATTCTGAAGGTAAAAATGTTCATATCCTGTAGTTAAAATATTACAGACAACTGATACAGGATAATCATTTTAATTTGATTTAATATTAATAAGATTCCTATAATTTGGAAAAATAACAGTGGAGACAATTTGCAATTTTCAATAAATTAACTTTCTCTAAACAAAAACCCTGAGTTTTAAAAAAGTGATTCTAAGATCTACTAAACTATATAAATATGATCTAAAATTAAAGGAAATTGCAATGTAACTCCTATGGTATATCTGCTAAGACTACTGATTTTGCTTTTAATTTTGATAACATTCATAGCACAGAATATGGATACTTAATAGTGTGTTTTAGCACAGAATATGGATACTTAATAGTGAAATATATTTTCATTCATTACATTAAATTATAACAAATGAAATCAGATATTACTGTTTCCAATATTACTTCATAATGGGAGAATTATGGGAAAGTTGCAATTGAACACCCTGCGTGAACCAATCGTTTCTTTGAGTTAGTTTTGTAGTTTGTATTAAATAGTTGTGGAGACTGCAGATGCCCGCAGTTTTTCTGGGAAGCCTCAGTACAATGAACATTAGGCCAACAAGTCTAGGATTTCACAGTATGTGTTAACAAATGATCAATTCTTTGAACTACAAGACAACTTCATGAAACCCATGGTTATAATGCATTACGATTTATGTTCTTGTGAAGCTTTCATAGAGATTTTGAGTAAAAAAACGTAAGTGTGAGAATAAACTGTTGTAAAAGAAATGGTGGCTGAGAGAGAGGTTGGGTAAAAACTCTATTTTCCTCAGCTATTATTTGCATGACTTTGACACAGCATAATAGAAAGCAGGGATGGTGGTGAGAGGGCAAATAGGGAATGCAGAAGAAAAGCTAACACGACTCCTACTTCTGCCTGGTGCTGATACAGCTACAACAAAAGAGCAGCTGCTATCCAGCTTGAGGCGAGGTGTGGATAATTTGAAAGGACACCACTATCTAGAAGTCAATATCCACAGAAATGGGGAAATACAAGTTCTGTCCCTTGCTTTGGACAAACTCTGAGTGGAGTAGCTGTTGAAGTGAGAACTTCACTTTTAGAGTTTTTCATCTTGAATATCTTGGCAAAAAAGACAAGCTAGGGCTCTGAGAAAAAAAAAAAGCTATACTATTCAAATGCCTAGCATGAGAAACTGTTGCATAGTTCTCACTCAATGTATTGATAGAGCTCATTGCCCTAATGAGCGTTTTTATTGTTAAGAACATTTATTTACAATTATTAATATAATTGATGTTTCCTAATGGTAGAATTTAGACTTAGAAATGTCCATTACTTTTGAGCTCACAGATCAGCTTATATGCTTCTTCCATATAAGCATGAATCCTTCCTATAAATACAGATGGGAGAGTCACCCTTTAATACAGTAATCTGTTGTGCTTTATTGTTACATTAAAATAACTTCTAACATTACCAGTACTAAAACCCTTTACCTTTAAAAGAAGAAACTTCTTTAAGATTAAGGAAAAGCTATCATACTTTTCTAGATGTGGAGTAAGAAAAATTGTAAAAGTAAGTAACCATTACTAAAATATGTTAGGAAATAAAATCTTGTTGGAGTCTTTTCATTTAGTCAATTTAGTTACATTTTAAGGATGAAAACTCATATCAGATCAACCCTATAATGTGTGATCTTCCAGTTTTTATTTGCCTTTACTTAGTAACAGTAAGGTAAAGAAATCTAGCAATCTTTTTCAAGGAAATAAAATGATACTTTAAGCATAAGGTAAAATGGAACTGTTTTGTACATAATTATAACTCCTTTACTTTGCTGAAGTTAAGGAAATTAACGTGGGGGAGATTTCCTGCCATCAGAATTTACAAAGATTATAAAATGAGTTGTTAGGAACAATGTCTCACATATTTTAAATAAGCATTGGCCTTAAACAGACTTGAAATTGTGTGATTTAGATTTACCCTTAAGTACCAGTCAGCTTGTAGAGAATATATGTATGATGGATACCTATATGCAATACTACTATTACTAAATAATTTGAAAATTAAATAACCATTCCCAAATAAAATGAATCCTATTAATTTCTATTAATTAAAATAAGGTGAATTTCTTTTCCATCCATAAGACATTTGGGGGAAAAAAACAAACATAAACATATACACCCCCAAGTAAAATGGTCTGTTCGCTGTAGAAGCACTGGCTGCTGATCTTTAACTGCTGACCCCAGAGATTCCAGGAATCAGGTGATTCAGGCTGCGAGGCACATAATCCCTTCACACCAATAATTAAGGGCAACATACAGAGTAACTGGGCTCTGTCATGAAAACCAGGTAATAAACACATGCACACGTGTTAAGCTGCACTACTTTACAGCTCATTCTGTGCAAACACAATAATTTACATTTCCATTTTACCAGCATGAGTTGCCCTAAGGATAGCAAAGAAGTAAAAAGGCCCAGCCAGAAAGGGCAAGGGGACAGGATCTTAGGAGGTGAAACACATTTCTTTCCTTTTGAAGCAATATTATAGGATTTGTAACAAGGCTGTAGGGAACAGTTCGTAGCTAGAGCTTTTTAAAGTAATACCAAATAAAAGGTCTGAAATAAACCAGCTGTAGTATTAAGATGCAGAAAGTTTATGACATGCATATAAGTTACTTTATGCCTTTGCAGCCAGGATGAAATGCATTTCTCTTTTGTTTGTCATAAGGATATTGTGCATTTGAAAAAAATTAAAGTTTCAACAAAAATCCACCATAAAAACAATAGCAAAACAGACTGGGACGATAGAGGAACCTGTTTAATAATTGGCACACAGAAATTTACCAAAGCTCAAAATTCGTAAGATGTAGGCTTCCCATAAAAAAAAAATCAAATCAGCATGGTCTTGCTCTAAAGATGATATTTACAATTGTCCAAGTCAAATTGAGGGTGACTTAATCCACAAGAATGCCACTGCTCTAATTTATGCATAAAAATTGTAACACTAGTGTTTTGTGGGCCCATTGAGAAAAAGAAAGACAAGGATCCTGTAACTTGTTCAGGCATTCTTTTTAGACTTTTGAGTTGGTCACCTAATTAATCTGGACTGATGTGATGTTGATTTTAGGAATGTAGTACTTTGGCTTTTTTGTGTGAATTATTTTATAGACGCTGCAATTGGATGAACAAAATAATGCTTCTTCAAACTCCTATACTGCTTTCTTCTCATATCAATTTATATTTTGAAAGGCATTATTTTCAAGCTACTGTATGCTTCCTGCAGGTTAGCAACAGGTAGTCAAGTTTTTTACTTGAGTTACAACTAAAGCTATCATTTTTAGATGATAATCCAACGGCTGATACAAAGTATCATGTCAATTTGCAAATAATTTTAGAAGGCAATAGTGAATACTAAAAAAATTAATGCTTACAAGACTACATTAGTTATATTGAGATTATTTTGGAGCACATAAGCATGAGTACAGTCTTTGTACTAATTTCCATGAGAACATGCTATTTAAGCTACTGATTAGTAATTGCCACACTAAGCTGAGCCATAGTTTGGAACGCAAAACACCTGGAATGATTCGTTTCACCAGAAAAAGAAAAAAAGTCTTTTTGTTAGTTGTAAACACTTTGTTTCTGAAATGTGTATTTAAAAAAAATTAAAAGGGTAAATTAAAATGTGGAGAGAAAGTTCTGGCTTTACTACTAGTTGGATATCATGTAACTGCAAAATAAACAGTTTATTTTAAAGGCTCTTTCTAGGTTGGTTGATAAAATGGGATAAGGCACTTCAAATAAACAGAGGTTGTTTATATTTACTTGGCAGTTAGGAAAGAGAAAAGTCTCCTATTTAGAGTTTAGCAAAGGACTAGTAATAAGGAAATTGAAGATACGCTTTGCATTTCAGCCATGCAGAGCAGACTAGTTTCTACTACCTAGCATGTGCGTTATTTGAATGTAAACCACAGATTACCCTTTATTTTAGCTTAAGTATGCTGAAATGTACACATGTAAAAATTATTTAATGCAGAACCATGAATTTCCCTCTTTTTCTAAAATAAATTTAATGTACTCAGTTTTTCCATAAAACTACTTTTGAAGTCTCTTTGTCAGGAGGAAGTTAACCAATTGTAAATCAATAACTGCTAAAGCTAAAACGGTGAAGCAAAACAAAAAGCCAAGTTTAGAAACTTACAATGCCCATTGCCAAAATGAAGTCTTTTTTCATCTGCCCCATGTTTTGACTTATAGCCACAGAACCTGGAGGTAAATCAAGGAAAGCGAACACATAAGAGGAATATATTTAAAATAGTTACCTATGCTCAGAATGTGCAAAGCATAAAAATAAAACATTTTCCTCAAACAATTAAATGCTTTAGTGAAAGTTTAATAACTTCATATTTTCAAAATCCTCTGAAGAAAGCCCCTCTCTCTGGGAACCCTGGAAAGCTGCCTAATGAGGAGATACACAGAGTTGCTTCCCACTGTGCAGACCCTCCAGTTCAGTTTTTATAATGGCTTTAGAATGTGTTTATAGTATTTTTTAACAACTTCTGTTAGAAGGAATGAAGGGTAAAGTCTCTATGGGTAATGATTAGTGCTGTGCAGTGTTACCCCTGTTCTGGGTGAGAAAGTGTCAAGGAAATCTGGGGTTATTTGAAGAGTGAGGAGATAATTAGAGAAAGAAAGTAAAAACTAGGAGTAGTGTCAGAAGAGAGAAGAGGAGGGGTGTATGTTAAAAGAGTGGGGACAGGAATTTAATGTAGAGCAGAAAATCAAAACTAAGGATGGAGAAACAAAGAAAAGGAGGAGAAAGAGAGGACCTAAACTACAAGTGGAGACATTCTTATTTGTTAAAATATTTTATTGAGCACACTCTTCACATTTTAACAGCAATCAGTGGCAGCAAACAAAGCAACAAAGAAAGTGAATAGTGAAACAGACTGTGAACTCACCTCCCAATCAAAACATAGATGACAACAGTGAGGAGAATAATTGCTACTGCCGCTGAAATGGCGATCATGACCACTTGGCTACTTTCACCAGAGATGGAGAAAGCTGTGAGGTTGAAGAGAAAAAATAAGAACAGGTATTATAATCATGACTAACATCTACATGGAACAGTTGATTGATTCATTAATTAATTAATATGTGTTCTACTTTTACCTGAAGTATGGCTTAATGTCTGATACAATGTTGAAAGTATTCTTTACTTAATGTTTAAAAAAATAGACATTTCCCATAATTTTGCTTGAAATTTCTACCTAATTAATATGGGTACATACTTTGTTTCAATGACATCAATCAAACATTATTTAAATGTCTCCTGTCCAAAATATGCTGTACTGGGTTTCTCTGTCCTCAATGGCAAAAAACTCGTTGAATGAACCAGAAGTTATGGGAGGATCTTAGAGAAGAGAGGAAGATTTCTCAGCATACAATTATAAAAAGCTTTCTAATTAAGCTTGTTTTAACTCCAATATCCATATTCATTTGAAAAGTGATATAATACATGGACCTCAACACATACCACCAACAAACTGTCCCTCTATTTCCTACCTTTATAAATGGCCCATTTATTCACCTAGACAAATGGTTGGCAAAAAAGCCCAGGAGCCAAATCTTGCCCGTCCCCTGTTTTTGTACAGCTCACGAGCTTAGAATGGTTTCACATTTCTTTTAACAGTTGTAAAAAGTCAAAAGAATGAGATTTCATGACATGTGAAAATTCTAAATCTAGGAAATTCAAATTTTGCTGTCTATAAATACAATTTTATTGGAATATAGCCACAATCATTCATTAATTTGTATATTGTCTATGACTGATTTTATGCTAGAATGGGCAAGTTGAGTAGCAGCAATAGAGAATGATGTGCACAAAGCCTAAAATATTTATTATCTGGCCTATTACAGAAAAAAGTTTACTGACTCTTGACCCAGACCAATGCTTCTCAAACTTTAATGTTCACAAAAACCACTCAAGAATCTCTGGAAAAGCAGTTTCAGATTCAGTCATTCCGGAGTGGGGAATGAGATTGTATATTTCTTATGAACACACAGGCAGTGCTGATTCTGCTGATTCCAGACCACAACATTTTGAGGAGCAAGAATCTAGACCATAAATATAAAATAACCTTCTCCTCTCCATCTCCTAATCATTCTGCCTCCAGTTAATCACCAAACACTCTTAAATATCCTAGTTTAAGTCTTCATTTATCTTCTGAATTATAATTAGAAATTCCTAATTTGGTCTCTATTTGTATGCTTTCCACACATTTTATCTTTCAGAATATTCCTTCTAAACCATGAATTTGACCATGTCATTCCTATGCATAAAAGTTTTGCATAGGAAAATTTTGGCTCTTTATAACTTTCAGGATAAGATGCAAATTTCATAGCAGAGCGTGTAAAAGCCATTTAGAATCTGTTTCATGTTTAAATCCCCAGCCACATCTCCTACAAACTCCATAAGCATCCTAATCTCTAGATATTTTAAAATACACACAATTCCTGGAACAGCCTCTTTTATGCTCTTATTTGCATATGTTGTTCTTGCGGTAAATGCTGATTAAGTACATGAATACCTCAGGACTCAAAAGAAGAGCAGATTTTAGTTATCTGAATACTATCACCTCCCCAGGAGCCAACATATCATCTTCAGCCTGAACAAATCTAAGTTTGGAAGATTTTCTCTAAAATATGTGGTTTTAGGGTTAGTTAAATAATGCAAGAAAAGAAACGTGACAGATAGGTTGTTAGGAGTTTCCTGTGAGCAGCATCTGAAGAAAAGTGCTCAGAGTGTGGCAGGATGGCACACTCATAATATAAACTGTTGTAAGCCCTTTACTCTTTACTACCAGCAAACTATTGTTTATACCTCTATGGCAGTCACAGGAGTGCTTGCTCAGATGTTCCTGCTGCAGAGAGTACAGTCAGCAGACAGCCTCCAGCTGCAGCACCTTCAGCTACAGCCTTCAAGCACAGGTTATGTACCCCTTAGTGACTTAACAGTACTGGCAAAGGGTTACTGGAGCCTGGCCATCCCTGCCCAATGCAACACTCCTCAAATGGGTGATCTGTGCTCTGAAACTCCCCATCGGCTTGGCCAAAACCCTCAGAGCTGCACTGCTGTCTGGGGCTTCCCCTCCTCAACTCTTTCTTCTTTCCCTCCTTGCCTTTATAAATGACAGACCTACATCTCAGTCTGAGGTTCTGCTTGCCTGGCTCAGCTCCATCTGCCTTTTATCCTTCACAAATATTTCTCCTATAAAGCTCTTATAGTTTCATCTTTGTATCTTCCTCCCAGAGCATCTGGCTGTTACATCCCTATCCATTGGCTACAGATCTGTGAATGATTTGTGAAATAGCTTAATCCAATATTTCAAAAATGCTCCATAAACATATAGTGGTGACTTGAACTCATGCTTTTCACTTTGCATACTGTAATAATTTATAGAAAGCAGCAAGGTTTGAATTCTGTGGTTATTTTGATTAGCCAGCTTATAAAATAAAGCTCAGTGAAACTGGGAAGGGAACTATGATAGGAGAAAAAATAATTATCTATTTCTTTTTCTGTTGAAAACAGAATTAAACTAGGATTTCTCCACAGTTTTTTCTGTCTCTAAAATATATGACTCACAGAGGCTATCTAAAGCACATAACTAAATCAGATCATTTCCATTGCTAAAATTAGCAAATATGTGAATGACTAATAGTGATGAGTTACATAGGTGTCTAATAATTTAATGTAATTGATAGCTATTACATTTCTTAATAATTCAACTTGAATTTGTTTTCTGCTCCCTCTGTTTCTATTCATTTCCATTTTACTCCATCCTACACAGAGTGCTGGCTTTCTCTCTCAAAAGAGTGATTCAGAGTTCATTCTTTTGAGTCAGAACTCCTGGATTTATATTTGTTTGCTGTGTGACATAATTTTGTTGTTTGAGAATTAAATGAGTTAGTACTAGTAAAACACTTACAGTAGTGCCAAGCATATATTAAGTGCTCAATAAATGTTACAATTGTTTATATCATTTCCCTGGTTAAAACTTTGCAAAAGTACTCTATTTCCTACAAAATGATAGATGATGAATGCCTAATTTTTATATAGAAATTTCTCCATTTAATGATTCCATTCTCCCTTTGTCAGGCTTCCTTTATGTTCCCTAGTAATAGGGCCCAAGAAAGTAAAGTTGTACCATTTTTACTCTTCAAAACAACAAATAATGAGGGTGTGAGGCTTTCGGGAGCGCTAATTTAATTATCCCTGGGGTTGTCTTCTTCATAATAATATCCAATGAAATCCTCTAATTTTAAAACTCAACTTTATTCCACAGATTGTTATTCTTGAAATTCTTCAGATGTTCAAATTACGGACTATTTGT